>NW_021159988.1:0-84043 GCF_000001405.40 Homo sapiens | reverse complement strand
AGTAACCAAGATTAGGAGAAAGAAAATCCCTCCAACCGCCTTTGAATTTCAGTTATGTGTAAGTTTGCTTTGAACTGGT
Organism: Homo sapiens; assembly: GCF_000001405.40. Classification (NCBI taxonomy): domain Eukaryota; kingdom Metazoa; phylum Chordata; class Mammalia; order Primates; family Hominidae; genus Homo; species Homo sapiens. Next base: position 83,964 of record NW_021159988.1, on the reverse strand, counting down.
GATTCAACTCTTTCTCTTGGAGAGAGAACAAAGCAAGTGATGTGGAACTCAAATCTCATTTACAACTTAATTTTAAAACTGAGGAGATTTGCAACATTGGAGGGAGCAGGAAATAAACTTTAGAGTAATTGCTCGGTTGCCTTTTAAACATAAGGCATTGCATTGCTATTTTTATTGATGGTATTCAAATGAGAGGATGCCACAGCTGCGGAGGAACCTAGGAGATCATTGACAGTAACTCCTTCACTGAGTGAGGAAGAAATCACAGGCCAGAGACCGGAGGGGCGGTCTCCTGTCTCATAGTAAGTTAGAAACAAGACCAGAATCAGATGGTGCAGATCCTCGGGCTCCTAGACAGGTCTCGGTAGAAGCCCAAGAGTGAAGTAATAGCCTCAAACAGCAACCTTACTGCCCATCTGTAAGAGAAGAGGTGGAAGGATGATATTCTGAGCACTGTGTTTACAAAAACACAAAGACACCCTCAAGAAGTAGGCTGATCACCTTCCCCAAAGAGTTTATGACAGACAGGGAAGCAGCCTTTATGCATCACTTCTTAAAGTTTATGAGCCCAGGAAGCCATATATTGTTTTATGTTCATTATACAGGCAAGTAAATTGAGGCAGGAGGGCAACTTTTGTTTTCAACCACAGAAATCCCCAGTCCTAAAGCCCATGTTTGCAGGTGTTGGAACATTAGAATAGGAGAGCTATGTTGTCAGAAGCCCAAAACCAGCAGCCCAGATAAAACCCCTGGTTTTGCTACACCTAAGGGTGCTCTAAAGCACTAGTTTTTGTGTTTGTTTGTTTGTTTGTTTTGAGACAGGGTCTCACTCAGTGGCCCAGGCTGGAATACAGTGGCATGATCATGGCTCACTACAGCCTCTACCTCCTGGGCTCAAGCAATCCTCCCACCTCAGCCTCCCGAGTAGCTGGGACTACAGGCGAGTGCCGCCATGCCCGGCTAATTTTTTTTTTTGTAGAGGTGGGGGTCTCACTATGTTGCCCAGACTGGTCTTGAACTCCTGGGCTCAAGCTAAAGCATTACTTTCCAAGCTGTGCTCCTCATCAAAGGTGGAGCACGAGAGAGGTTGCCGTTACCCCACTTTTGTCTCCTATGGAAGCAGCCCTGTTCTTATTTGGTTTTTATTTGGGAAAGTCAGTATAAGATTTTACAGCAAAGCGCCCTGGTGTTTTAAAAAAGCATTGCCTGAGAGCATTCAGATGATTTATCCACAACATCTTTCGTTCCTGGCAGTCAACTGTGCCACGTCACGTTGGCGGATGTGCTTCTACGGAGTCTGGCTGCGGTGCTAAGCTGTCTTTCATAGGGCCACAGGGTCCCTTCCCTACAGCCCCCAGCCAGGTGCTCCAGCTGCATCTGCACCCACCAGAGGCAGCCAGGGGTCCAGGAGCACTGTAGAAACAGAGACCAACATGCAGGCCCAGGCGAGGCCCACCATGCTTCCTGATGTTCACCCTGGCTGGGCCCGATGGAATATGGTCTGTCCTTGGCTGGCGGCTCCTGCTCACCCAGCAGCAGCCAGGGCCATTTCGATTAACCCTTCACAGCCACTCCACTTTGGACATGCATGTGCTCTGTTCTTTTTGCTGATTTAATTAACGTAATATAATGGAAATAAAATAATTGAAGGGGCTGCCACTTCAGAAAAGATCATCGCTGGGCTGCTCGGGAAGCATTGTTGCACGGTCTCCAGGCAACGCTGAGGAGGCCCGAGAGGGGCTGGCGGTCCCCAAAGCAGCCAGCTGGCCAGGCCTCATCCCACAGCCCCAGCCCAGCCTGCCTAGGCCCAGATACATGGGCCACGGGCACAGGGATATTCCTTCAGACCCTTCCTTCTTCACCACTTTGTGCCTTTGAGTCCTGAACTGTAATTTCCCAGTTTGAAATAACTAAGAAAAATCAAACAGAGCAAAATAAACACATCGGAAATTCAATCATACACATTGCACCCCCCAAGACATTTTTAGTAATACTATTTGTAAGGCCGGGATCACACCGTGCTTTCTGGAAGTGATCCTTGAACCAAAAATTAGTATTACATGGAGATTGCTGTGAGTGGACCCTCTCAACATTTATTTTCAAGTGATAGTTTTTGAGCTGAAGGAGATCTGGGTTCTCCCCAAGGATCTGTCTCTAATTGTCAGGAGATCTCACACTGGTCTCTTTCCTCTCTGGGACTCAGTTTCACCCCCTCCATCACTGCCATGATGTTCAACAGGAGTGATGAGGGAGCGTGGCTGAGACTCAATTGTGGATTTTTTTCAGACTATGATGAGCAGGCAGCTATGCCAGGTTCTGATCCCCTCCTCATGGAGACCTGCGTCTGGCTGCAACCATTCTGCAGATGGAGCAGGATGCAGAGAGAGGCACCTCTTGACCGGATGCTCCGTAAGGGCAGCTGATCTGCAAGGGAAAGTTCCTTCCCTGTTCCCCAGGGCAATGGGAGGCCACAATGGAAGGCGGCAGGACAGCAGATTGACAAAGAGTCTGGCAACCTGCGGGGACACATTCCTGGCCCCCCTACACCGTCCTGTAGATCCTCCATGACAAATACCTTTCAAAGTGATCCAGCCCCAAGGAAAAGACCCTTATTTTAGGAATTTTCCAGGGGAGGAGCATTTTCATGCCAGTGACACCAAATTATAGGCATGCTATAAAATAAAATACTATATGGTTTTATCTGATTTTGCCAGGTTACAAAGCAGAAGCAAAAAACAAACCAAAACGCTCTGACCTTTCTTCATGAAAAACAGAGTTTTCAGGCACGTTGTTGTTATTGGTGGTGCTGCTGGTGGTGGCTTTTCCCCCTTAGTGATAGAAATGCAAGGGAATGAGTACTAATTGTTGAAGGTTTTAAATGTGCTGTACCTTGTTAATGTTTCTAACATATTGATTCCTATTAATTAATCTAGTGTAATGGAAAAGTCAATTACGCCATATTAACACCACTTGTTGTAGAAAAGACTAAATTACTGAATGCAGATGGAGAGCAGATGTGTTATGATAAACATTTAATACATTCCTCTGCCCGTCTCCAAAGTTAATCTGGCTTGAGGTATCCAAAACATGGCCCATCTCCCTATGGGGAAGAAGAAGCCAATTACAGGTTGGAGAGGAGTGTGGAGATCAGATTTTTATTTAAAAAAAAAAAAAGAAAAGGAAAATGAAGTTGAAAAAATAAGTTATCTCACTGGCTTGATTCTTCTCCTTCCACACTGCATCTGATTCTAAGGAACAAGCATGGAAACAGGAGGAGGGAGACTTGGGCTCTAGTTCTGATTCTGACACAAACTCACAGCTTATGTCTCCTCCCAGAACTCTCCATCAAGGTTTATTTATTTATTTATTTATTTATTTTGAGACAAGATCTCATTCTGTCACCACCCAGGCTACAGTGCAGTGGCGGGATCATGATTCACTGCAGCCTCAAACTCCTGGGTTCAGGTGATCCTCCCACCTCAGCCTCCCCAGTAGCTGGGACTACAGGCATGCACCACCACGCCCAGCTAATTTTTTTTTTTTTTTTTTTTTTTTTTTTTTTAGACAGAATTTTGCTCCTGTTGCCCAGGAGTACAATAGCGTGATTTCGGCTCACTGCAACATCCACCTCCCAGGTTCAAGCAATTCTCCTGCCTCAGCCTCCCAAGAAGCTGGGATTATAGGTGCCCACCACCTCACCCAGCTAATTTTTATATTTTTAGTAGAGACAGGGTTTCACTACATTGGCCAGGCTGGTCTTGAACTCCTGACTTCAGGTGATCTGCCCACCTCAGCCTCCCAAAGTGCTGGGACTACAGGCGTGAGCCACTGCTCCCAGCGCTAATTTTTAACTTTATTTTTTATAGAGACATGGTGTCCCCATGTTGCCCAGGCTGGTCTCGAACTCCTGGGCTCAAGCAATCCTCCTGCCTCAGCCTCCCAAAGTGCCGGGATTATGGGCGCAAGCCACTGCATTGGCCTTTGGTGAGATTTAAATCAAAATATCCATTCATTCTTTCAATAAACACTCTTGGCTGCATATAATGACTGAGGTTCAGATGTTATCCCTAACTCTTTCTCAAACATCTCAGCTGAGAATTTTTGCAGGCATGTTCAATGCAGTACAGCATGCCTTCCTTCTGAGCCTCCTGAATCATCTGAGGCTCCCACCATCTCCCCAGTGTCCAACACAGAAACCTGCAAGTCATCTTGGGCTTCCTTTTCCCTCCCTACATCCTTGGCTCCACCAACTTGAGGTTGTTAAGGTCTATTGAGCTACCATCTAGATATTTACATTATAACATCCATAAAATTAAAAAGCAAATAGGAAACTGAAAAAAAAAGTCAACAACTATAAAGGGTTAGCATGTTGAACATATTATACAAAGCCTTTTTCTAAATAAATAAGAAAAATTATCCAATAAAATTTGGGCAAAGGAAGAGAACCATTTGCAGAAGAAATACATAATAAGGTAAATAAATATCTGAAAATGTTTTCACTTCAAAAATCAAGGAAAGTCTAATTTTAACTAAATACTTTTTTTCCCCTCTCAAAATATCTACTTCTTTATAAAATCATCAGTCTCATTGATCATGAGGATACAATGAGACAGGCATTATAGTGTCCTGCCAAGTAGAGAACATGAAATGTGTGGAACATTTTGAGAAAGCAATTCAACAACAGGTATTAACAGCTTTAAAAGTGTCCATGTCTCTTTATCCAGGAATTTTCCTTCTAAAAATCCATTCTAGGAAAATAGAGATGCAAATTAAAGATATATGTATAGGGTATTTATTACCACATTATTTTTACTGCTAAAATGTGAAAACAGGTTAGGTACAGTGGCTCACTCCTGCAACCCCAGCACTTCGGGAGGCTGAGGCAGGCAGATCACTTGAGGTCAGGAGTTTGAGACCAGCCTAACCAACATGGCAAAATCCCATCTAATACAAAAATTAGCTGGGCATGCCTATAGTCCCAACTACTCAGGAGGCTGAGGCAGGAGAATCACTTGAACCCAGGAGGCAGAGGATGAAGTGGGCCGAGATCACACCACTGAACTCCAGCCTGGATGACAGAGTGAGACTCCATCTCAAAAAAAAAAAAAAAAAGGGAAAACAACTTAAATATCAAAAACTAGAAAAACAGTAAACACTCTTTGACACATCTGTTTTAGAGACAATTACACAGTCACAGAAATGTGCATGAAGGATTTTCAGATTGTGTGAAATGCTCACAAGGTCTTGGTGAATGGAAAAAACAGGGCTAGAAAGCCAAATACAGCTAGAGCCTCATTTTCCTCCCCCCGCCTCCAATTGTATTTTACATGCAATATTATAACAGGAAAAAACAAAACAAAACACAAAAAACATCTTTCAGGGCTCCTCACTGATGTGAACTTCAGTGATCACACGAGACCCTTTGGGGTCCACTCCTGGTACCTCTGCCTCCTGAGTCCTAACCACATCTCCCACCTCCCCACCCTCGGATTTCGGCTCCCGCATTCTTGGCGCTCCTTCACCAGGCTTGGCTGCTGGCTTTATGCTTTTGCCCCATTTCTCTGCCAGGGAGAGCCTTGCTTCCCACTCTGCCTCCCCAGTGTGTCACTTGCTGCTGACATAAACATCCACCTTCAGGACTCAGAGGACCTTCAGGACTCAGCCTGCACGTGGCCTACTCAAAAGCGCCTTCCCCGGCAGGATTTGTTGTTATTCCACCTTGAGACCCCACCACATCCGCAGACCACGGCGCTGTCAGGGGATTTCAGCAGGAGAATGGCACGTTCTGCAATTTCAGAAGAGGCCTCTGGCAACCACATCTGCAGCAGGCGTGATCCTGGTATGGGAGAACTAGACAGGAAGCTCTCAGAGGCCAGGGAGGACTCTGACTGGGACAAGGGGGTGGAGCGCTGGGACTCTACCCACTCCTGGTCAGAATTGTCAACCTGCCCTGTGGCTGTCCTGGGCCCCATCTGGATGGTGCTTCTCTTGCTGCCCAACTGCCCCCAGCATTGTTCCCTTCGGTCCCAGCCCTCCACAAAAGAGCTCCCATCTCTGCTAGCCCTGCCTGAGATTCTCCTTGGCCTGAGTTCTACCCTACCCCAGACCCCAAGAGTACTCTCCCTTCTCCCTTCTCTCAGACCACAACATGAGAGAGAAGCCTGAAGCGTCCTCCGTCATCAGGAATGCCGACATTCAGAACACAGACCGAGTGTCTTCAGCCAGACCACGCCTGGCTTCCCGGCCATGGCAGCTACGTGCGAGAATCAGGGTCCTGCAGACGCTGACACCTGGGAACAACCTCAGACAGGCTGGAGTCCAAGGCCTGCCACTGATCACCAATAGACAGTGATCCACAGCAACAGAGTGCCCGGAAGGCCACCTCAACTGGCAAGTTCCTGAGCACCTCTCTATGCCAGGCACTGGGCAGCATGCCTGCAGTGCTCTTGGAAAGATCAGATTAGTGGCAGTGACAACAAATAAAGGAAAATGAACAGGAGTGTGTGCAGCTGGGATGTGGTGTGAGCAGGTCTCCTACACTGTCTGGAAGTCTTTGCAGAATTCTTCTGGAAGGCGGGCCTTTGTCCACGAGTCCTTAGAAAGAGAAGGCAGGGGAGGACTTTCTGCAGGAAAAACAGAGTATGTAAAGCCTAAAAACATCCAAGTAAGGAAACATGTTTCCTGTGCCTCAGTTCCCATTTGGAAATCCTGCTGGGAGATCATGGTGCAAACTCACATCAAAGAACCCGAGATCCAGGCTCAGACCCACCACTCGCCAACCCCATCACTTTGCACCCATCGTGCCTTGTTCAGAATTCTCCAAAATGGCACCACGGATGCTAAACCAATCGTTTGGCAGTTATTTTGGGGTTTAGACCACTATCATGCTGAAGAGGGCCAGACCATGTTGAGGACTTAATAAATGTTTCTAGACCTTCTTGCTTTTCCAACAAGAGAGAGAATCAAGGGCAAAAGCTGTGCCTTATATCTCCTTGTACCTTGGTTAGGACCAAGGACCTCTTCACACCCAGCAAGGCCCTGCTGATGGATTCATTTGCTGGGGCTGTCTTGTCTTTCTCATCTCATCCTCCACCAGAGTGAACTCTTTGACAGCTTTAGTAGCAATTTTCAAATTTCAAAGGCCCCTGCAGGGCTGAAGAAGGTACCCTAGGTAACAAGGTGGAAGAGCCTGACTTATCATCAGGCAGGCAGGAATCATTTGTCTGGAAAATTCACTTGGAGATCACAGAAGCAGCTGTCTACTGTGTCTCAAGCCCCTTGCAGAAGGCTGGCTCCCAGGCAGGAGGAGCAATTGCTTCCCCACAGCCTGGAAAGTCTGCCCGAGACAAGCTCCTACAGGAACAGCAAACACACTTGCCCTTCGCTGCCTCCCCTGCCCCCACCTCACTTCCTCTCCTGCCTTGCTCAGACCCCCTCCCACACCTCTCCCTGGAGTCCGGAATGAGATCAGCACCTCCGGACGGGTGTGTGCCAAGTGACCTGCTTAAACTCATTTGCTCCTGGGACATAATTCCCAAGGAAGTACATTTTAATTAAACTTTCCGGTAAACACGTCTTTTGCTCTATAATAACTCCATTAAAAAGAGATCACTGTAAAGAAGCTGTTCTATCCCATAAACATTGAAAACAGACAAACAGGCTCCTGAGCCAGGCTGGCAGCACTGGAGCTTCTCCACTCCACAGCCTCAGCCTCCCTGCAGGTGCCTGCCTGGGTCCTCCTGCTTCCAGACTTTTTCTCCAGGGGTTTCTCCCCACCTGGAATGCTCAGAGAGCCTCTCTGCCCTCCTCCAGGAACCTTCCCTGATCAGCCTTCACCCATCTGAAGTTTTCTCATAGCCCCAGCTACCCACCCACGTGCCATAAAACAACCTTGCTTGTCACTATCTGCTCTCACCAAGCAGGTCATGAGTGAGGACAAGGAGCAGGCCACATGCTTCTTGGTCTTCCCCAAAGACCCCTTACAGAGAGCTTTGTGCAGGGTAGAAACACAGGGCCACCTAAAATGTCCAACTGCTGACAAATAGTACCTGACAAAAAAAGGATGTCTTATAAGTCATTCAGCTATCTAGAAGAAGTTTTGTCTGATTACCATCTAGAAAAAAGAAGGTATGTGGTTGTTGATTGGTTCTCCTAAATTATTTTAAGAAATGTGCCTGGCTCTCCAAAATACAAGCCGACAATTCCTCACGTACAATTTGAAGTCCAAAAAGCCCTTTAAAAAAGCAGGAGGCCGGGCGAGGTGGCTCATGCCTGTAATCCCAGCACTTTGGGGGCCTGAGAAGGGCGGGTCACTTGAAGTCAGCATTTCAAGACCAGCCTGGCCAACATGGTGAAACCCTGTCTCTACTAAAAATACAAAAATTAGCTGGGCGTGGTGGTACATGCTTGTAATCCCAGCTACTCGGGAGGCTGAGGCAGGAGAATCACTTGAACCTGGGAGGCAGAGGTTGCAGTGAGCTGACATCATGCCACTGCACTCCAGCCTGGGCAACAGAGCAAGACTCTGTCAAAATAAATAAATAAATAAATAAATAAATAGTAAAAAGCTGGAGACCTTGTAATCCCAGTACTTTGGGAGGTGGAAGCATGCATATCGCTTGAGCCCAAGAGCTTGAGATCAGCCTGCGCAACATGATGAAAACCCGTTTCTAGTCCAAACTACTGGGGAGGCTGAGGTGGGAGGATCAGTTGAGCCCACGAGGTCAAGTCTGCAGGGAGCCTTGATCATGCCACTGCATTCCAGCCTGAGTGACAGAGCGAGACCTTGTCTCAAAAAAAAAAAAAAAAAAAAAAAAGAGGAGAATGTAACCCCAGCATTTTGGAAGGCCAAGGCAGGAGGATCCCTTGGGCCCAGGAGTTCAAGACCAGCTTAGACAAGATAGTGAGACAAACCCCTCCCACCACCACCAATCTCCACCAAAACAAAAAATTAGCCAGGCGTGGTGGCACATGCCTGTGGTCCCAGTTACACAGGAGCATGAGGGAGCAGGGTCTCTTTAGCCCAGTAGGTCAAGGCTGCAATGAGCCATGCTCGCACCACTGTACTCCAGCCTCGCACCACTGTACTCCAGCCTAGGCAACAGGTGAGGCTCTGTCCAAAAAAAAAAAAAAAATCAGGGGAAGAAGAATTTTTTTTGTTGCTTTTTAAGCTTATTTGGCAGCAAGATCTGACTTGATCTAAATGTACTTTTACAATTTTAGCAGCAAAATTTTACTTAGTAGAGAGTTGTCTGTTTTACTGCAAAAAATAATAATGTATTAATTACAAGATACTGGCCTGGATCCCGCTGGGAGTGTTATACGGTATATTATACGTATGGACTATATTTCTCTTCTAAAAATAAAAAAAAAAATTGAACTACGAAGCCATCTGACCCCAGCAGTTTCAGAAAATGGATTATAGAGCTAGATGTGCAATGTTCAAAAGTTCCCTGTAGATATTTGTACTCTGAATTCTAGTTTTCTGATCCATGTTTTATAATTTCTAGGGCATCTATAGTAGATTTTATTATTGTTCCCAAATATCTGTTTCTCTCTCCCCTGTAAGAGATGTTTCATTCTTGCCATTGCCTGGGGGGGTTTCAATAATTCCCTTAGGGAGGAGAATAGCCAATGCCTCATTGACCTCAGACTTTGCCAGTGCAGTGAGAGCAGATACACTATATACCACCTCTGAGTGAAGTTTTAAAGTCATTGTATGTGTCAGTTTTTTGTCTTTTTCCTCTGTCATGAGAATGGCATGTCCCAGATAGAAGATGCCCCTTTCACTTGGATCCTGAACTAAAGAAGATAAATGACTTCATACCACATAGGAAAATTAAACTTAATAAATCAATTAAGTTTAGCTAAATATCAGGGCTAAAACAATAAAACTCTTAGAAGGAAACATAGGGGTAAATCTTTATCACCTTGAATTTGGCAATAGATTCCTACATAGGACACAAAATGAATGAACAACAAAAGAAAATAATAGGTAAATTGAACTTCATCAAACTTAAAAACTTTTGTGTATCAAAGGACATTATCAAAAAATACACAAAGGACATTATCAAGAAAGTGAAAAGAAAATCTTCAAAATGAGAGAAAATATTTACAAATTGTATATCTGTTACGGGCCTAGTATCCAGCACATATAAAGAAACTTTGGGCCGGGCATGGCGGCTTATGCCTGCAATCCCAGCACTTTGAGAGGCAGAGACAGGTAGATCACTTAAGGTTAGGAGTTCCAGACCAGCCCGGCCAACATGGTAAAACCCCGTGTCTACTAAAAATACAAAAACCAGCCAGGCATGGTGGTGGGCATCTGTAAACCCAGCTACTTGGAAGGCTGAGGCAGGAGAACTTCTTGATGCCAGGAGGTGGGGATTGCAGTCAGCCGAGATCATGCCTCTGCACTCCAGCCTAGGCGACAGCGAGACTCCGTCTCAAAAGAAAAACCCACATCTTTACAACTAAACAACAAAAAGACATGCAATCCACTTTAAAAATGGGCAAAGGACATGAATTGGTATTTCTCCAAAAAGGATATACAAACAGCCAACAAGCACATGAAACATTGTTCATTGTCATAGAAAAATGCAAATCAAAACCTCAGTGAGATACTACTTCACATTCACTAGGATGGCTGTAATTAAAAAATAGAAAATAAAGCCTGGGAGTGGTGGCTCATGCTTGTAATCCCAGCACTTTGGGAGGCTGAGGTGGGCAGATCACCTGAGGTCAGGAGTTCGAGACCAGCCTGTCCAACATGGTGACACCTCGTCTCTATTAAAAATACAAAAAAAATTAGCCAGGTGTGGTGGTGCAGCCTGTAATCCCAGCTACTGGGGAGAGTGAAGCAGGAGAATCGTTTGAACCTGGGAGGCGGAGGTTGCAGTGAGCTGAGATCGCGCCATTGCACTCCAACTTGGGCAACAAGAGTGAAATTCCTTCTCAAAAAAAAAAATAAGTAAAATAAAAAATAGAAAGTGTTAGTAAAGATGTGGAAAGATTGGAACACTGGTATATTGCTGGTGAAGTTATAAACTGATATAGCCACTGTGAAAAATAATTTTGTGATTCCTCAAAAAAATTAATGTAGAATTATCCTATGACCCAGCAGTTCCACCAGGACATCCCTGGTCCAAATATTAAAAACTAGTACTAAAACAAATACATATACACACATGCTTATAGCAGCACTATTTAGAATAGCCAAAAGGTAGAAACAGCAGGTATGTTCACCAATGAATGGATGGATAAACAAATAATACACATGTAATGGAGTATTATTTAGCCATAAAAGAAAGGAAGTGCTGATATGGGCTACAAAGTGAATGAATCTCAAAACTAATGTTAAATGAAAGAAGCCAAACACAGAAGATCATGTATTGTATGATTTCTTTTATGTGAAATATTCAGAATAGGGAAATCCACAGAGACAGATCACAGATCAGTGGCTGCCAGGGGGTGAGGGAAGAGGGGAATAGGGATCAACTATTAATGGGTTTGGGGTTTTTCTTTTGTTATGATGAAAATGTTCTCCAACTAGATGGAGGTGGTGGTTGTACAGCACCGTGAATGTATTAAATGCCACTACATTGTTCACTTTAATATTTAACATATATATAATATAACATTATGTTATATAAATGTCTTTTTTTATTTTTTATTTTTTTTATGTAGAGACAGGGTCTCACTATGTTGCCCAGGTTGGTCTTGAACTCCTGGCCTGAAGGTTCTCCCACCTCAGACTCCCAAAATGCTGGGATTACAGATGTGAGCCACTGCACCTGGCCATATATTATAGAATGTCATCTCAATTTTAAAAAGGAGAGATGAGAAAGAGGAGCAGTGAAGACCCAGAATGATTACTGGTGTGAAAACATATCAGTCTTTTTTTATTTCTCAGAGCCAAAGGCCAAAGATGGCTGGAGCCACCTGCCATTCCCTCTGGCCTGCCAAACCTAGAATGTATCCCTAAGGTCATGTGATATGATCACTGTCCTGTGAGTCAGGATATGGGAAGGCGGGGGACACTGTTTTTCGTGTCTCCTCCCTCACCTCCACTGAAGTCATCCCTAGTGCCAGGACTGAGGGGGTCCTGCACAGTGTGCTCACCATGGAGCTAGCTCTGACATCTGTTATGGCCAGCAGGGTCCTGGCAACCGGAGGAGATATGGCAGAGATCTTGAGAGCCCCAGAGGATCCTCTTTGGCCTTGATCCTCTGTGTGATGCTTGGCCTGGAGACTCTATGCCAGACAATGCAGCATCCCCAAGGAGGCTGTATGGGAGATGACAGCTTTTATCATCATAGTGGGAGTTCCTATGCTTAAAACTTTGAGTTTCTATGCTAGGGGAGACAAAGAACTGGCCACTGGAGTCTCTGTCCTTTCAAAAGAAAGGCATCATATTTTTGAAAGGTTTTGCCACATTGCAAGAGAATTTGGAGACCTTAAATCCACTATCCTAGATGTCAGACTCAAGAACAAACTATCATAAATAGCAAATGTGAAAACCACGAATAAAGAGTTGGAAAGCTCTAACTCTCTACTTGGTCTTAGAATAGATTATTACAGAGAAACATGAAAAAGAACAGAAATCTACATGTTTACAGGAAGTTCAGCTGATGACTGAGATTACAAGCAAGTCCCAGTCCTTAGAAGACTCAACTAAGCAAATCTAACAAGTGGCTACAAGCAAAACATTCTTCAAAATCCCTCAGAAGTATGGAGAACAGCTTCAGGAGCACTAACAGAGACTTTGGAGGAAAATTCCAGTCTTCAAAGACGCATGAAGCTGCTTTCACAAGAATCTCAAAAATGGAGTGAACAAAGTTACTAAAGAGAAAAAAAAATCTCGGAAAACTCTAGACTGGGCTGGGAGCGGTGGCTCAAGCCTATAATCCCAGCACTTTGGGAGGCCAAAGTGGGAGGATCACCTGATCTCGGGAGTTTAAGACCAGGCTGGGCAACATGGCAAGATCTAAACTCTACAAAAAATAGAAAAATTAGCCAGGAGTGGTGGTACACACCTGTGGTCCCAGCTGCCTGGGAGGCTGAGGTCGGGGAATCACTTAAGCCTGGGATGTCAAAGCTGAAGTGAGCTGCAATCATGCCACTGCACTCCAACCTGGGCAGCAGAGTGAGAACTTGTCTCCCAAAAAATTTAAAAAAAAAAAATTTAATTTAAAAAAATCTCTAGACTGCCTGTGGAGCAAGTTCTTAACAAAAAGAATCATGTCAAGATTCTAAGTGAACACTTGCTAGTGATAAACAAATGGGCTGCTGTTCTTGAGCAAGACAACACAGATCATGAGAACCTGGAATTGAATATATGAATGGCATCTAATGGTGATCTCTTACAAGATAATTCCAGAAGTGTTTCGAAGGAACTAATTTATGGGGTGGAGTATATATACTTATTTTTAAACTCTGCAAAACAAAATAAACAAAATGTACATGAAATTAACTAAAGAAACCAAAATAATCAATGCACTTAAAGAGCACATGCAAAGTCCCAAACCAAGAAAGCTTCAGTGCAGCCAGTAAACAGTCAGAAAAGGAGTCACAAAAGCTCCTGCAAAAACATCTGTTTCTTTCTAAATCTCATTGAGAAAAAGAAATGTTTACCCCATATCCAATCTATAGAGAATTTGCCCTGTAAAAATAAAAAAGAATCTTTCCAATGCAGAAGAAAACATTAGAATGCATCTGAAGAGTTATGTACCTATAAAATTCAAGCCAACATTATTTCAGAAAAATTTGGAAGAATAACTATTATGAAAACCTTCTTATTTCCCAAGAAAGAAAAGTTCATGATTTTGGGATGAGAGCTTTGTTAGCTGAAAAACCACAATAACATAAGAAAAGAAAATAGGCCAGGCGCGGTGGCTCACGCCTGTTATCCCAGCACTTTGGAAGGCCGAGGCGGGCGGATCACAAGGTCAGGAGATAGAGACCATCCTGGCTAACACGATGAAACCCCGTCTCTACTAAAAATACAAAAAATTAGCCGGGCGCAGTGGCGGGCGCCTGTAGTCCCAGCTACTCGGGAGGCTGAAGCAGGAGAATGGCGTGAACCCGGGAGGCGGAGCTTGCAGTGAGCCGAGATCCCGCCACTGCACTCCGGCCTGGGTGAAGGAGCGAGACTCCGTCTCAAAAATAAATAAATAAATAAATAAATAAATAAATAAATAAATAAATATAGATATATCACAAAGGAATCGATTGAGGCCGGGTGTGGCTGCTCACATCTGTAATCCCAGCACTTTGGGATGCCGAGGCAGGTGGATCATCTGAGGTCAGGAGTTCAAGACCAGCCTGGCCAATGTGGCAAAACCCCGTCTCTACTAAAAATACAAAAAATTAACTGGGCGTGGTAGTGCATGCTTGTAATCCCAGCTACTGGGGAGGTTGATGCATGAGAATCACTTGAACCCGGGAGGCGGAGGTTGCAGTGAGCCGAGATTGCACTACTGCCCTCCAGCCTAAGCAACAGAGCAAGACTCCATCTCAAAAAAAAAAAAAAAAAAAAAATGAAAGAAAGAAATTGATTGAGCAAGAATGTAAAGATCTGTAAAAGTATCCTTCCATCCTTGAAATTACCAATGAGGCATTTGGCAGAGGCCCAAGGGCACACTACACACTACTTGCCATGGCGAGATCCCTGGTAAAGGACAGCATCAGGCTGTGATGTGGAACACGTGGTCTGGTGCCCAGTGCTGACCACTTGCCACCCTTTGAGGTCTCTCAACAAGCAGGTTCTCAGCTTGTCATGGTGCTCCTTGTACAGGCAGAAGCTCAACTGCTGCTCTTGATTCAACCACCTTACATGCGAGGGGAGCAGCCGGGTTCTGATATTCCATGAGGTTCCAGAGAGAAGTTCCTCAGATAAGGACAACCAGTGCTTCCCCTTCTTCTAATAGCAAAGACAAAGATCCCCCAAAGTTTCCTCTACAAAGGGTCCTTTCTGGCCTGGCACTAGGATCCCATGGCAACCAGCAACACCTCAGCAGCAGCTGCTAGCTTCCATCTTGTGTCCACACCACCTGGAAACAGAAGCGGCTCCCCATCCAAGTTGATCCACCTTCCATTGTGTCCACTTTGAAGATCCAGGACAACTGCAAGATGTTTTTTGTCTCTCTCCACAAAAATGTGTGTTTATTGTGTCTTTTTAGTATTATTCTATTAAGAGATTATACAATGGCTCAATTAGAAACATGATAGGCTATAATTGTTAGTATAATATGTTAGAAGTGTAGAGTATAAAATATGAATCTTATAAGTTAACTGCTTCCATTTTATTTAATTTGTAGGTAGTGTACTTAGTGTAAAATATAGTAATCTGGAAGCACAGTAGATTGGTTCTTGCTATTTAACATGTCACCTGGAACATCAACTGTAATAGGAGTTTCCCATGAGAAGTTTCACCAGTGGCGGCAACATTTGAAACTCAAGGTTGATTTCTACATAACAAGTGCTCAATACCTCCTGGTTGTAAGATTAATATTTTTACCATTGTAAAATTTGGTCAACAAAAAAACAGAAAGCTTTTTTTTAAAGATACATGGAGCAAAGTAGAATTCTAGCAAACCTGTTGCCCACAGTAAATATGAGTGAGCAATGAGTCTTAGCTGGTGTGAGCTCTTGGGATTTAGGGAGGGGCAGTGTTTGTCTCCACTGCCTAACCTAGGGAAAGCCAACAGCTAAACATGCTGAATATCAAAGGGAAAGGAATTTTCAAAACAAACCTAGTGAAACATTTTAAAATTTTAATAGAGATGATCCTCCCTCTTCTTGTCCTCTCCCAACGCTCGTACAGCCTAGACCCACCTCATCTGAGTCAGGAATGGGCACAAAGTCCTTCTTTCTTCAGTGATTCCACCTACAATTCTAGAGCATGGGGTGGGAGCCGGGGAAGATGAGATACTCTATTTCCCCTTGCAGCAGCATTTGAGAGCCAATGAAATCCTGAGCATCCTTGGGAAAGTCTTCTTTAGGAGATCTCAACTGAGAGAAGTCCATTTTTTTCAGCTAATCTTCTCTCCTGGATACTGCCCTTTCTCCCACTTTCCTCCTTACTACTTGGTCAAGGAATTTTTTTAAATGACTAACATTCATGTTGAGGGTGCCAGGCACTCTACTAAGATCCTTACTTGTGTTATCTCTACACCCTTCCTGCAGTCGTGAAGAGAATGCTGTTAGTAGCTCACTGCACAGTTGAAGAGACTGGGGCACAGGAGACTCAGTACCTAGTTAAGTGGTGGGGCCAGATTCAGATCCACAGACACCATGCATGAGCACTTGTGCTGAGGATGAGATAGCCACACCGCCTGTTCCACACGTCGCTCTTGTTTTAGTGAGCACTCCGCAGAGCTTTCAGAAACACCAGCTCACTTGTCCTCTCCTGAGGCATTGGTATTCTTATCCTAGGAAACCGAGCCCAAAGTAGTTCTGGGTCTCCCACTCAGGGCCTCAGCTAGAGGGGTGCAATGAGATGCTGGTTCTGATACAGCTCATTTCCCCTTCCCCTAGCCACATGGTTGCCTGTTTCAGGAGGATCCCAGCCTTGAATTCCTGTGAGAGCAAATCCAGGGCCTCCCGGAGCAGCTGTGAGGCTGTTCTCCTCTACCTGGGAAGGACAGACATTCCTGGCAAGAGACCCTCAGAGTGAAGCTGAACCATCCAAGTCCTTGTGTTCACTTCCAAGAGGGAGGGATTCTGAAGTGAGGGAAACGTGCTTCACATGAAGTTGCCCAACTGTCTTTCCTCCATGATCTTAAAT
Source organism: Homo sapiens (assembly GCF_000001405.40). Lineage (NCBI taxonomy): Eukaryota > Metazoa > Chordata > Mammalia > Primates > Hominidae > Homo > Homo sapiens. Next base: position 67,178 of record NW_021159988.1, on the reverse strand, counting down.
ACTGATAGGCATGCGGGCTCTAATTCTAACAGTTAAAGAAGGAAAGGAGGGAGGAAATGAGAAAGGAGCAGGAAGGGAAAGGAAGAGGAGGAAAGGGAAGAGCAGGGAAGAAAAAAAAAAGAATAATCCAAATTTATTTATTTGTTTATTATTTATTTATTTTGAGACAAAGTTTCGCTCTTGTTGCCCAGGCTAGAGTGCGATGGCGTGATCTCGGCTCACCGCAACCTCTGCCTCCCGGGTTCAAGCGATTCTTCTGCCTCAGCCTCCCCAGTAGCTGGGATTACAGGCATGCGCCACCACACCGGCTAATTTTGTATTTTTATTAGAGATGGGGTTTCTCCATGTTGGTCAGGCTGGTCTTGAACTCCCGACCTCAGGTGATCTGCCCGCCTTGGCTTCCCAAAGTGCTGGGATTACAGGCATGAGCCACCGCGCCCAGCCGATAATCCAAATTTAAAAAGACAAGTGAAAACTAGATATAAAAGCTGATATTATTCCGGGATGCATGAGACACCAAATGCCTGTATACCTGCATAGGTCTGTAGAGAGATGAGGATTTCCCACGTTCATCACTTAGGTTGCCACTGCATTTCTTATTTCAACACCTGCCACGTGCTTATATTTAAGATAGTATGAGATTTTAAAACGATTAATGACTCTGTAAATGAAAATTACTTTTAATTTTCACTGGGCTCAATTTCATACAAGGACTTGGGCTCTATAAATCCTCATTACTAAATATTTTTAAAATTACTTTCACATAAAAATAGAAAAATAAACATTATATCTCACATTTGAAAAAATGCACTTACAGTTTGAAAACCAATTTTGCAATGATTATTTTACTCAGTTTTCTTGTGGGGAGGCAGGATCAAGCAGAATTCATTCACACGTGTATTTATGAAGCACCTACTGTATGCCATACAAGATGGAGATGTAGAAAATCCATTGTGTGAACTGCGTCATCCACAAGGTGTCAACTAACTACATTATCCGGGAAACAAGGCACTCAAGGCCGTGTAGGAGACCTGAAACTGAGTATCAAAGTGATTCTTCCAAAACCACCAGGAAGTTGTTGGCAGACTTGAACCCAGAGCCCCTGACAGAGTCTAACGCTCTCTCACCACCTCATCTCTTTGGACGTAAGTACATGTTGAGTGTACAAGGTCTTGATTCAGAGGTAGCTTCAGACAAACTACATTTTAAAAGTGTATGGTTTTTCATATGTTCCCAGGAAGTGAGCAAATTCGATCTCTTCCTGCTCAGGGGATCCCACCTTAATCACCTACTAGAATTCTACAAGCTGTTTCAAGAAAGTTGCAAATAGTGCTGCCAAAGCCCCTGGTATTCCTCTCATCAAAAGCCTAGAAAGAAAGAAAAAAAGAGAGAGAGAGAAAAGAAAGAAAAAAACGGAAGTAAATAAACTTTAAAAGGAAAGAAGGAAGGAAGGAAGGAATTATTTTATAGAAGATGAAGTTTACATATGTTCAAACATCTGCAAATCCAAACTTCTTATTTGTCCCGTGTGTTTGGGTAGTGGCAGATATTCAGCAGCCCAAGCTTTCATCGTTTCTATTGGAGAATGTGGGGTGAGTTTATTGGGTTAAAATCGGCTTTGTTTGGGTTTGCACCGCCCTTGTTCCCCGGGAGCCCCACATGGGGCGCCAACATGGCCTGGAAGAGGGGCATGTCAAGTGCCCCCCATCATGCATTGTTGCTGCGCAGTGAACTGGAGTCTCAGAGGGGAAGGGAAAAAAAGTAATTCCTCATTTTCATCCTGACCAGGATTCCCCTTTTCTTTGGCGGCCCCCAGCCGCAGTAATCCGCATTCACGGCGCCCAGCCCCGGGTTCCTCTCGGAGTTCTCCCGCTCCTGTCATTGTCTTCTTATCTGGGCCGCTTCTTCCAATGGTGCTCCTTGAAAGCGCTTTCACCGACAAAAAAGGACCAGCTCCATAATGGCCAACTTGGCCCCTTTCTTCTCTCTCTCTCTCCCTCTCAGTCTTTTTTTTTTTTAAGCTTTCCGACGGAGCCGGGCTATTTAATCTTCTTGAGGCGTTCAAGATGTCACTTACCTCTGATGGTGGAGACAATGGGGAAATACTTCCAGCCTGAATGCCGAGCAGTGCTGAATGCCTCTGGCTGCTTTGAAGAGGGTTCTTGGAAGTCTCTGTTTCAGCTGTGGTGGCCCCAGTGCAGGTCTTTTTGTGCAATCTATGCATGCCTCCAGGCCAGCCTCACCAGAGGCGCTTTAGCGTAAAGCACAGTGAATGGCTTTGTCATCACACAGAACCTGGTTCAAATCCCAGCTCAGGCTTGGGCCGATCAGTCATTTAATTATCCCAGGCCTCAGTTTACCTATCTGCGAAAACAGAAGTGAGAATAGCAGGGCCTCAGTTTCCCCTCTCTGTGAAATGTAAGCGAGAGTGATTCCTGCATGAGTCTGCTGCAAAAATTGAATGATAATGAAAAGTACATACCCTCGGCTTCCCACCCTGAAAGTATATGTGTGTGTGTGATTAATTAATGGATTGATTATATAATTTCCTGGCAACTGAAGAGCTAGTGTGTGGAATGCTCACATTCCTTTCTGATGGAAAGGAGTAAGAGGAGTTTCATTAATTAATGAATTGGTGCAGAAGGAACCAAAGGCGCACAACCTTAGTCACCTTTGACCTCTCTCTCCCCACATCCATGAGTCACAGACCTTGCTGACCCTGCCTTTTGCAGGCCACTCCCGCCCCACTGCACTGCCCCCAGGCAAGCCAGCTTGAGTCAAATGGCACTCCCTTGCTCCAGAACATTTCATCTCTCCCTATTGCTTACAGGGTGAAAGGCAAACTCTTCATCTTCGCTTTCTAGACCCCCGATGATTGGCCTGTTTTTCCAGCCTCAACTCCTATCTTTCCCTTCCACGAACCCCACACTCCAGCCAAAGGATTCTCTGCAGCACAGTTTCCCAGCTTCGTGGTGCTGTGGCTTCAGCTTGGAATAATGTCCTCTCCTGCATATCAACCTCTCAAATCCCAACATCCTTCAAGGCCCATGGGAAGGCTTCATTCAGCTTGCACCACACCTCTGCCCCACAGCACATGCCTCACTTCCATTAAACAAGCACTTGATCAAGCTGCTCCTCTGAGCCCAGAAATTAGAGACTCCACAGTGACTAAGCCACAGCCCCTGACACCGAAAAGCTTACAACAGTCTGTGGAGCGCCGGTCTGTCTCTTCTTGCTCAGAAGCCCCAGTGCGTGCCCTGCAAAAGCAGAGTTGCTCCACCCTCGTCACCCAGCAGTGCTTGGTGCTTAGAAAATGCTCAGTCTCTAAGATACTGGATGAGGGAATATGGCTCTTTTTTTCTATTGAGTACCCAGCATTTGCCAGGGGCCAAACTAATTAAGTCACATATGTCTATGAGGAGTAGGCTCCATCCCCATTTTATAGCTGACAAAACCGAGGTGCAGACAGATTAGCTGACTGGACCAAGGCCGTATCTAATGTGAGGCCAAGCTAATATCTAATGCAGTTTTCGCTTACAAAGAAATACTCCTGTCTCATCCAAGAACAAAGTTTGATAGTTTTTACTGAGGTTATCAGGTGAGATTTTTTTTCAGAAAACTCAGATAGAAGAGGGAAATTTGACTGGTCAGAGACCAGTACCATACAAAGAAAATGACCTGGGGACAATCTGATGCTCAGAGCTGCCCTCATCCCTGTGCTAACCTGGGTGGCACACAGGCCACTAATGTCGTGTGTATGAAATATACATTATGCACCTTCTCCGAGGCCCCGCGTGCAGTGAGGGCGAGGAGAGCCGTCCCCGAGCCGTGTACAACTTTTCATTTCCCATATCAATCATGAGAACAAGTTGAAGTTCAGATAATGGCAGCTTGGTTTCCCCTAATTGTTCAGGATTTAGACTGACTGTTTGCACTGCAGACTGCGGCCACTGGGTTCCCGGCGGGGGGCTGTGGCCGGCTCTTTCTCTAACAAACCCGTGTTCATGCGTCCATTCAGATCCATCACCCTGAGATAAACTGTGAATATTGCCCTTTGTCGCCGCTGCATTCTTCCCGGCATTGTGGGGGCACTATTTACGGATTTAAAGGTTCATTTGCACAATTCTTTTGTCAGCAGCCCAGGCGCAGAATGGCAAAGTGAGGGCTGCCTCTTCTTTCTGGGTTACTGCCCCGAGCTCTCCCTGAGCAGAAGGGACATGCCTGCCCTCGGACTTAGCATGAAGAATGTCAATGCGAAAATTACATTTTTTAAATGACCTGTCTGCTTCCGTGGCCAGAGAGGCCACCGGTTCACAGAGGGCGGGGTTTACGTGTTGCCCCTCCAGCCCTTTGGCAGTGTTCGCAGACACGCAGCCTTTGAAAAGCAGCCCAGGGTACAACATGGCACGATTACACTAAGCAGCATTGTGATCATGTCCCATAATGAGGGCTTCAGGTTCCAGGCACAGTGCAAAGTGCTCTGTATGCATCAGCCTCCTTAGTCCCATTTTACAGAGGGGGAAACTGAGGCACTAAGAATTTAATTAATTGTTTGAGATCACAGGGCAAGAAAACGGCAGAGCTGAACTTCCAACCCACAACTTTCTGGCTCCAAACCTGTGCTCCTTCAAGTGTACGCTGCAAAGTTTTGATCAGAGAACTCGGAGCTGGGCTTCTGAATGAAGTGGTAAGGATGTGTGCCACCAACAGTGTGGCACAGAAATGCATGTGGCCAGATATCAAAGAACAGGAATGCATTACTGTCTCTGTGTATGGCGCAGCCTCGGGGACCTTCCGCAGGAGCCTCCTCCTCCTCCTCTCACCCTGCTGTCAGCCCTCTGACAGCATGCTGCCTCATTTGAGGTAATTCTTAACTATGAGCCTTACCCACTTCCCACAAGGTTGCAGGCTCCCTGAGGGTAGGGACTGATCTTTCCTATCCGTCTCTCCAGTGCCAGGCATGGGCCCTGGCTGATAACACACACATACTAAACATTCCGGAAAGAATGAGTAGATGAATGACTTTTCTGCAATATGGAGGATGCATCTTTTGGAAATTTTACTGGGCAAAATAATTATTCTGCATGCAACTACAAGTCCTGCAGCTCTGCTGGGAAGAGATGAGAATGAAGCAGAGGACAATTTTGTGGGTTCACTTTGCTGGGGATGGAAAGGAAAAGCAAAGGGAAAAAAAGAAAGCTGTCATCCAGAGCCCCACAGAATGCTAATCTGTTTTACAGTAAAGATCTATTTGTATCTCTTTTGTGAAATAATACCAAACTTTCTGTTAGTCAGAACGCAACCAAATGTCTTTGGCCCTTGGGGGTCCACACTTTGTCACAGTGGATGGAAGAAAAGGAAGAGAGAAAAAAATAAAAGGAAGAGTGAGGAAGTATTGGGGTTTGCAAGTGGCAAGGAAAAAGAGAAATCATTTCTTAAAAGACAGAAGCAAAAAAACTATATTTTTAGCATTGTTATAATCAGTTAGTGTAATACATCTTCCAATAGTCCCAGTGAATATCAAAATGAATAATCTCAGATTTGCATAATCTGGTAATGAATTTGATAGTAACCAAATACAAAGGATTTTTTAGAATATCATGATTACTCTTAGACAGAGGTTAAAAATAGATATTACTCTTGAAGGACGGTTTAAATTTGCTTTGCAAATAGATCTTGGGTTCATGCTCTGGCTTAAAATACAGCATGTGCTTCATGCCCCAGTAGCACGACTGGTGTCTTATACAGAAAAAGTTTAAAATACATTATGTCCTTTGTTCTTATAATTCCACTTCGAGAATATTCCCAGCCTGAAATACAGACATGGTATTATGCAAAAAGATGTTCATTGCAGTGTTTTTTATGAGCAAAAATACACACACACATAAATTGAAAGGAGATTGCATAAGTCCATTAATGGTTCTGTAAATATATCAGTGTTCTGTAAATATATCAGCGTTAATGATGTCAATTTTTAAAAACCCAGAATACAAAATTTTTGTTGTTGTTGTTTGAAATGGAATTTCACTCTTTTCTCCCAGGCTAGAGGGCAATGGTGCAATCTAGGCTCACTGTAACCTCTGCCTCCCAGGTTCAAGCTATTCTCCTGCCTCAGCCTCCCGAGTAGCTGGGATTACAGGTGCCCACCACCAAGCCCAGCTGATTTTTGTATTTTTAGTAGAGACCAGGTGTTATCATTCTGGCCAGGTTGGTCTCGAACTCCTGACCTCAGGTGATCTGCCTGCCTCTGCCTCCCAAAGTGCTGGAATTACAAGCATGAGCCACCTTGCCCGGCCCCAGAATAAAAAATTATGTATGCGTTATAAGCCCAATCATGCAAAAATAAATATTCACAGAATAAAAGGACTGGAATAAATTTGAGGACATTGTTGTCATTGATGACTAGGCTAGAGACATGACAAGGGAAGGGTTTGCTGTTTATACATTTCGATAATCTATAGATTTTATATATTGCTTTGATTGGTTTTTCAATGCTTTTTTAATGAGCACCTATGATGTTTCAAATGCTGCAAGCTAAAGGCACAGCCATGAAAAAGGCAGGAGAGGCCCTGCCCTCTCCGAGCTTGCATTCCATGATGTGGGTGGGGGAAATACAGACATCACAGTAATTTCACAATCAATTACCCACAACAGTGGTGGTAGGTATTGCAAAGGGGCAGATCAGGGAGGTCTGTCAGTATATAACAGAGGTCCAGTGTGTAACTGGTGATGGGTGGGAGGGTTGAGAATAGTTCAGGGAAGATTTCCCTGAGTAAGCAATGTGCTGAATTTTGAACAATGAGTAGGAGTTACCCAGATAAAAAGGAGAAGGATGTCAGTCCAGGAGCACTGAACACTGTGACTTCCCCACCATTCCTTCTACCCCATCCACAAGGCTGGAGAAACCAGGTGGTTGAGTTTTGTGTGTGGTGATAGAGGAAGAGAAAAGGGATTCACCTTATCCCTCAGTCCAGGAGTGGATGCTGGTTATTTTTAATTCAATCAGGCTAACCTTATTCTCCATGCACCGGCCATTCATTCAGATAATTTAGGCCCAATGTAAATGATTCATGACTTTTCCTCAGCCAGGGTATTCGTTCAGGAATTGGCGATACATGCCAACGAGACCTAAAGGGAGATTTGCCATAGTTTCTTGAGAAGGAGAAGAGGAGACTGAAGTCAATACTCTTTTTTTTTTTTTTTGAGACGGACTCTCACTCTGTTGCCCAGGCTGGAGTGCATTGGCGTGATCTCCGCTCACTGCAAACTCCGTCTCCCAGGTTCAAGTGATTCTCCTGTCTCAGCCTCCTGAGTAGCTGGGATTAAAGGCACACTGAGTAGCCTAATTATTCTATTTTTAGTAAAGACAGAGTTTCACCATGTTAGTCAGGCTGGTCTCGAACTCCTGACCTTGTGATCCGCTCACCTCAGCCTCCCAAAGTGCTGGGATTACAGGTGTGAGCCACCGTGCCCAGCCGGTCAATACTTTTTTAAGGGAGCTACTAAAAGCCACTATCACTCTCCTGCTGGACAGACTGCTAGGTGGATATAAAGCCTAAAAGACCTGTGCAGCCATTTGACACCATAAGGAAGCCAGCATTGGGAAGAAAAGCAGAGAGGTGGAAGGAAACTGGATGAGCTTAAGAGGACAGATTAGGAAGGTCTCATAGGATATGTAAAGAATTTGATGCTACTCTAAACATGAACCATCACTGAAGGGAGTTGGGCAGAGGAGTGACTTGAAAATATCTGTGTTCTTAAGAGATCGCTCTGGCTAATTACGTACAAAATGGATTTGGAGGTGGGAGGGCAGGAGATGGGTAAAAATAATTTGAATAGAAGTGATGGTAGGGAAGTTAGAGGTAAGAAGGCAAATTCCAGAGATAAGAAAGAAGTCAAGGCCAGGTGCAGTGGCTCATGCTTATAATCCCAGCACTTTGGGAGGCCAAGGTAAGAGAATTGCTTGAGCCCAGGAGTTTGAGACCAGCCTCGGCAACATAGTGAGGCCCTGTCTCTACATGAAACAAATAAAGAAAAAAAAATTAGCCATGTTCAGTGGTGCATGCCTGTAGTCCCAGCTACTTGGGAGGCTGAGGTGGAAGGATCATTTAAGCCCGGGAGATCAAGGTAGCAGTTAGCTATGATGGCACCACCGCACTCCAGCCTAAGGAACAGAGTGAGACCCTGTCTCACAAAAAAAAAAAAAAGAGAGAGAGAGATCAAGATAATGACACTTTCCGACTGTATGAAAAAAATGGAGAGAAGGAAGTAAGCAAAGATATTGGAAATGAACTTAAGGTTTAAGGCTTTCAAATTTAAATGGATGATGAAGACATTCACTGAGGTAGTAAACCCCCAAGGAAGACCAGAGTTAAGGAAAACATTGCTGAGTCTGGTGTTGCATATGTTGAGTTTGAGGAGCTTTTGTGGCACCCCAGTGGAGGTGTCACATGAGTAGCTGAACAAATGGGTCTCGAAACCTGAGGACTTGTCATGTGTAGATGGCTCCTGGAGTCAGGGGTGTGGAGGAGATGACCTAGTAGGAAGATGAAAAGAGACCCAGGGATTAAGCCAAGGAGCTCAACATTTAAGAACAAGGTCTGAAGACATCATAGAAGAATGCTTAGACAGGTAAGGAAGCCCAGGAAAGAGAGGGCTTCGAGAAGGTGGTTGTGGTTAATGATGTTAAAACGTCAAGTAAGAAGATGACCAAAAATGTGCTTTGGAATAATGATTTGAATGAGCTGGAAGCATGATGGAGGTTGAGACCAGACTGGACCAAGTTGGCAAGTGAGTGGGCAGGGAGGGTAGTATCAAACATGGACAAATATGCATAGAGTTCTGATATTTGGCCAAAGATGGAGAAGCTATTCTGGGAACAAACTCCAGTGAGCTGGCAGCAATGAGTTCCACTCCTATAGAGGACTGTGTCATACTCCATGATTCTCCAGTTTCTCAACCTAGGAATATCGCTCAGCAGTGACTCTTCTTTCAGCCCATTGGACACGGGGAACTACAGACAGATGGGTCCTTCCTTCTTTGTTTACTCATTCATTTTTTGTGGATTAAATGAGTTGCCTAGAAGAGTCAATCCAGCCAGTGGTAGGATTTATCCCTAAATTTTTATTTCTAGATATGTTCATTTTCTAGGGCTTCCATAAAACTGGGTGGTTTAAAACAACAGTAATTTATTGTCTCATAGTTCTTTTAGCCTTCTGTCTGAAGGCTAAAAGTCCAAATCAAGGTCTTTATTCCTTTCAGAGCCTCTAGGGAAGGATTCTTCCTTGCCCCTTCCAGCTTTTGGTGGCCCAGACATTCCTTGGTTTAGGCAGCATAACTCCAATTTTTGTTCTGTCTTCACAGAACCATCCTCCCTGTGTATTTCCAGGCTCAAATGTTCCTCTTCTTAGGCGGACAGCAGTCACATTGCATTAGGGACCACCCTGCTCCAGTATGACCTTATGTTAATGTAAGTAATGATATTTGCAATAACTTATTTCCAAATAGCATTGTATTCTGAGGTCCTGGGGTTTGGGGCTTCAACATATCTTTCTGGGGACACACATCAACCCATAACAATAGGTATGAATTTTCATCATACCTAGTGTTTCACCATACCTAGGATTTGCAGGCTGGGGACATAACCACCACGCTCCTAGGATTTGCAAGCTGGCAACATAACCAACAAGCTAAGGAGCCATACCTAGGGTTTGCCATACCTAGGATTTGCAAGGAGCTTGGTGCTACAGCTTGTAAATCCTAGATATGGACACCACCTTTGTCAGGAGCCACATTTGGTGCACTCACCATTTGGCAAAGGGAAGAATGATTTTCGTCCAGGCTAAGATGTCAATGGAGAATACAATGTTTATTGAAGTGGCTCATTAAGGGCTATCCTCACAGGGTTATCTCGCCCACACTGGGGCTCTCTACCAATTCAAATGAGGTCCATTCTTAAAGAAATGACAAGAACCACATGCTCCTTTCTGATTTTCAAAGAAATTAGAGACAGGATAAAATGTCATCCAGTCATCCCACAACCATACCATATGCTTACCCATGTCGGCCTCTGGGGATAGACAGGCTGTGGGACCACCCTGGATATTCAGCACAGCCCCTGGCACTGGGAATTCCTTGCCTAGTAAGAGAAATAGAATGGACACAGCAAGAGCCGAATGTTTGCTGAGCAGGTAGTATTAGAAAAGCTGTGATGGTAGAAAGAGGATTTGCTCTTCTTCATCCTAATCCACAATTACAAGTTTTGTTGGTTGGTTGGTTGGTTGAGTTTTTTAGAGACAGAGTCTCATTCTGTTACCCAGGCCGGAGTGCAGTAGCATGATCATAGTTCACTGCAGCCTCGAACTCCTTGGCTCAAGCAATCCTCCCACCTTGGCCTCCCAAATAGCTGGGATTACAATTCTGAGTATTATTCTAACCCCCAAAATTACTAAGAGTGAGTGGCATACACCAACTGAGCCAGCCAGGAGAGTGGCTGCCTTGTCACTTTTGAAAAGTTTTTGTCCTTATGGTTAGTTTGTATTATGAGCTTTTGGTGGTCCTCTCACAGATACCACAGTTACATTTTATCTATACACATATTCCTCCAGTAATGAGTACTAACTGATCCATGTGCTAGGAAAGAAAGGCACCTGCTGCCCGGCTGCCATTTGCTGCACAGTGCAGTGGAAGAGCCCAGCCCTGGAATGACACTCCAGTCAATGTGCCATCCATGGGTTTGTTAAGAATTGCAAATCCTTATACACATTAGTAAGCTTCTCTGAGACTCAGTTTACTCCACTGTGCCCAGTGAGCTGACACTACCTAGCACTGTTGGAGGATTACAGTTAAGGAAGATCAGAGAGGCCTCAATATAGTAGATGCTCCACAAATATGCCTTGTCTTCACTCCTACATTTGCCCATGTTTCATTGAGTCACAAATATTTACTGAACACCTCACACTAGACTCTGTTTTAAGTAATGGTGACAGCAAAGTGAATAAAATATTCTTGCTTTTTCAGAGCTTACATTCTTGTGGGAGCAAAACAGACAATGAAAAGGTATTTTTCTGGCCGGGCGCGGTGGCTCACGCCTGTAATCCCAGCACTTTGGGAGGCCAAGGCGGGCGGATCACGAGGTCAGGAGATCGAGACCATCCCGGCTAAAACGGTGAAACCCCGTCTCTACTAAAAATACAAAAAATTAGCCGGGCATAGTGGCGGGCGCCTGTAGTCCCAGCTACTTGGGAGGCTGAGGCAGGAGAATGGCGTGGACCCGGGAGGCGGAGCTTGCAGTGAGCCGAGATCCCGCCACTGCACTCCAGCCTGGGCGACAGAGCAAGACTCCGTCTCAAAAAAAAAAAAAAAAAGGATTTTTCTTTCTTTTTTTTTTTTTTTTTTCTTTTTGAGATGGAGTCTCACTCAGTCACCCAGGCTGGAGAGCAGTGGCATGATCTCGGCTCACTGCAACCCCTGCCTCCTGGGTTTACGCAATTTTCCTGTCTCAGCCTCCCAAGTAGCTGAGACTACAGGTGCCTGCAACCACGACTGGCTAATTTTTGTATTTTTAGTAGAGACAGGGTTTCACCATTTTGATCAGGCTGGTCTCGAACTCCTGACCTCAGGAGATCCACCCGCTTTGGCCTCCCAAAGTGCTGGGATTATAGGCATGAGCCACCGCACCAGGCAGAAGATATTCTTCAAGAGGAGATCTGTGCTGGATGGCAGGAAAGGACAGGTTAATCTGACAAGAGTGCCTGGGACAAGAAGAGACAAGGGGATGCCTCTGATAGTGTGGCCACTCTGAGAAGGCTGCATAGATCTGAAGGATCAGGAGGACCCAGCCTTACAGAGATCTACGGATAGGTCATATAAGGCCAATGCAGGTGCTGGGCAGGATGAGACGGTGTGCCCAGGAGCAGCAAGCCAGCCAGCAGCCAGAGTGCAGTGAGTCCGGAGTCAAGAGGTGGGATGTGAGGGTGGTAAGGTGGGCAGAGGCTCCACCACCGTGGAGCTCTGTCAGCCACAGTCAGAGTTGTGTTTTCTTCTAAAGGGGATGGGAAACCTCTGTCAGGTTTCAAGCAAGGATGTGATGTCAAAGATCACTCTGACTACTGTGTGGAGAGTGGGTTGTCCGGAGCAACAGGGAAAGCAGGTGGGCTCTATAGGAGGCTGCTCCATTTCCTGGCATCTTAGTCCATTCAGGCAGCTATAACAAAATGCCATAGACTGGGTGGCTTATGAACAACAGGAATTTACTTCTCACAGTTACAAAGTCTGGGAATTCCAAGATCAAGGCATTGGTGGATTCAGTGTGTGGTAATGGACTATTTCCTGGCTCACAGAGGCTGCCTTCCTGCCTTGTCCTCACATGGTGTAAGAGGCCTCCTTTGTAAGGGCACTAATCCCATTTATAAGGACTTCACTCTCATGACTTACTCACCTCCCCAAAGACCCCACCTTCTCATTCCATCACTTTGGGGGCTAGAATTTCAACATCTGAATTTTGGGGGGACATAAATATTCAGACTGTAGCACTTGGTCAAGAGACAGTGGAGATTCAGACCAAATGGACGTGGTGAGAAGTGGGTAGATATGAAGATCTTTTGAAAGATAGATTTGAGGAGAAGTTAAAAATTCAAGTTAGAGTGCTGGGGACATTATCTTCTGCACTTCCAGGAGCAACACACTTTAGTTAGGGAATGAGACTTATCCAAGTGTAGCAAGAACTTGGTAGGTACCAATAACTATGATCATAGTAAGAAAACAGCTAAAATGTACACTTCGCAGAATACAAGTCTTCACATGTCTTACTTCAAATCAATAAAAATCCACACAGCAATGGAATTCTGGATAGTTTCTCCCTTGATCAAATATACCGAATCATACATTCATTACGTAGCCTTTGAGTCCTACTGTTGATACATACTCACTTCTTTTTATTATCTACATTTTTAGATAATACTCACTTCTTTTTATTCTCTACATTTTCACAACATGATGCCATAACACGTAATGCCACTTATTTATTCATTTTTAATACTAACAATAGGTTTTCTCTGTGAAAAAACAGTGCTTTATTAGAAGTTTCAGAAACAAGACAATTGAGTTAGGAATTTTGCTTAGATGTGTTATATTTATATGCCTAATTTTTAAAAAACTGTTAGTAGCATCTACAAGCTATTCCAAAGAGATTAAAGGACTTATAAACACTGGAAAATGTAATTTAATATGTAAGTAATAATATAAGGATTTTTTAAAAGTCTTAATATACTATTTTTGAACCTTGATTATGCACGAAGTACCTTATAAAACACACTCAGCTGTACACAACAATACAAACATATACACCCCTCTCCATTTACAATGATGGGTAAAGTGGGGAAAACTGTAAAATGAATATGGAACTATAAATTAGAAGACACTGTTTGGAACTTGCCAAGCCTCACCCTGCCTCTGATTCTTCCCCTATAAAAAAAATAGGCTAGGCACTGTGGCTCACGCCTGTAATCCCAACACTTTTGGAGGCTGAGGCAGGTGGATTACTTGAGGTCAGGAGTTCGAGACCAGCCTGGCCAACATGGTGAAACCCCCCATCTCTACTAAAAATACAAAAATTAGCCAAGCATGGTGGCGTGTGCCTGTAATCCCAGTTACTCAGGAGGCTAAAGCAAGAGAATTGCTTGAGCTCGGGAGGCAGAGGTTGCAGTGAGCTGAGATTGCACCACTGCACTCCAACCCCGGCAGGAGAGCAAGACTCCATCTGGAAAAATAATAATAATAATATTTGTGAAAAATGTATTCACCCTGTTTACTTCACAGGTGTATTTTAAGGATGAAACAAGATAAATACATGCAAAAGTATTTCCTAAACGTTAAAGTATTATACAAATATATTATTTTTTAGAGGAAAAAAGCTAAAAAAGCAATTAAAATGCAAAACTATTAGCCTTAAAGTCAAATTATTTACTTGCCATTTTACTCTTTTTTTTGTATTTTTTTCTGCTTGTTTACCTAGTCTTTGGGAAAGGTTTCAAATATCCTTTAACAAACATTTTCATTGTTTGGCAGGAGGAATAAAAAAAGAAATGGTAGAGTGAATCACATTCAGAATTAACTTGTGACACACATTATCATGTAGCTTTTATGTAAGTAATTAAACTGCATATTATGCTTATTTATTCTAGACATTACGTGTCAAAATTTCATTTGTGCCTGTTTTCCGTTGTTGACAGAAATAGCTGTAATGAAGGTTGTATATTTTACTACTTTTTCACTAATCACTAGAAATAACTAATGAAATAAATGATTAAGAAAAGATGCTTTTAAACATTTTCAGACTTGATCTTTTAACTTTCTACTGGTATTGTGCATCCGGATTCATTATTAGATCAAATAGGAACATAGGATGTCCAAAGGATCAATAAATGTCTTGTGAAACCAGAATGCAGTTCACTGATCATGGTAGAGAAGTCTTAAGCCAACATCTTTAATTCTTTCACCAAAGAAGCACATTCTTAAACCAAAGGAGTTGACGCACTTGTTGGAATGAGCTTCGGACAAGAAACCAGAAAGTCCGTAAGTCCCAGCTTTGCCACTGACTGTGTGTCCTTAGGCAAGTTGTTCTACCTCTCTGATCCTCACTTCGCCCATTCAGTGATCATAGCATTTTTGTCTGTGCACCACACAGCTTTGTTGTAAAGATCAAGTGAGCTGGCAAGTTTGCAAGCACTTCGAAAACAGTGACATGCTAAGCTAAAGCAAGTGTTTCCTCCTGAGCCTTTGGAGTTACTATCTGACAGTGCCTGCTCTGGACTGTAACTTCACACGTAGTTAGCACAGGCTTCATGCTCAAGAGCAGCACCAGTGACTTCCTGCCAACATCCTCTCGGGAAATGATGCCTGCTGGACTGAGCAAGCTTGCTGGACCCTCCCGAGTCCAGGAGGCAACCTGCAGGGGCACCAAACTCCCCTTGCCATGGCACGTTTTCAAGGTTTTGCGATTAAGAAGTTTGGGGACCAGAGGAGTGTGAAAAGTTAGTACCTTAATTGTTGAAAATTCTCAAAGATTCCAAACTTGTAAATCATGAAAGGCCACTGTTTAGCAGGCTGGAATGCTTTTGAAAAAGGCCAGCTATCAGAGATTGGCCTCGTTAATAACCACAGTAAAACTAGCTCTTGAAGCTCAAAGACACAGCTAATCAGGGCAGAAAAATTCAACCTCAAATTAAGAGAGAGAGAGAGAGTGTGTGTGTGTGTGCGCGCGTGTGTGTATGTGTTTCTGAAGTGTAAAAGCTTTTCTCCCAGAGAAGTATGTCTAAGTATATATTGGACATGTTCCAAGACCCACTGTAAGACAAAGCCAGGACTGCAAAAATGTCAAGGTGGGGTTAATCAACTCCCAGAGCGTCTGTGTGCCCATCTGTCCAGTAAAAAGGAATCACCAACTTCCTTACCTAGAAACTGTCTAATCCTAAACTTTCAAAACAGAGACTCAATAGACAGAAATTCACAGAGGATATGTTATAATGCTTTCCTGGATTTTTTTTAAAGTAATAACATATGTATGTGGCCCAGCACAGTGGGTATTTGAGAATTTATTGAGTACATCTACATGTTCTAGATAATGGGGATTTAGATATAAGTATCAGCTGGTTCCTGCCCACAAGAATCTTGTGTCTGCTGCTAATCAGAGCCTGGTACCAAGAAGATCCTCAACATATGTCTAGGTCTTCCATGTTATGAGAAGAGACTTTTCCCTAAGTAAAGGTCAGCTGCAATGGACTCAAAATTTGCCAGTTATAAAGACTATACAAAGGCTTAAAGCCCAGAGTCTATTTGTCAGCTGTCTTCTCAGTTTAAACTTAGAATGTCCCAACAGCCTGAAAGCATAGCCTTGTCAATATCACTGGAAGATTATATTAGTTAGTGAAATGTCCCAGTAGAAAAGAAATAGAGAATTGCTCAGCTGGGCAACCCAATGCCCTCCATCTCGTTACTGATACCGCCTACATGGTACAAACAGTCAATGATATTTTTAAAAGACATAAATTCAGAGGCACTCTGAGTCCAATTCAGTGTGAGCCATGATCAAAGGTCACTTCATGCAAGCAGTATGTGACCAGTGCCCTCCGAGGGGAGCCAGTCCTTGGCTTGGGTGTGCAGGGAGAACATGGTACTTCTGACTGCAGACATTAGATGGGTTTCAAGGGCACAGGGATCTTTGCCCCGTATTTTAATGGATGGCTTGGTTTCTGATGTATGGAAATGGGGACAGAGGGTGGCCCTTGTTATTGACAATGTGGCCCATGGAGCAGAGCATGGGCATCACCTGGAAGTTTGTGAGAAATGCAGAATCTCAGGCACCATCTTACGGAATTAGAATTTGCAATTGAGGTCCCTGGGGAATGAGTCAGTACATCGAAGCTGAGAAGCGCTCTTCTTGACTAGACCACATGGATTTTATTGTGCAGAACATAACGTAGGATAGTTACAGAGAGAAAATGGGATACCTCTGTCATGTGGTCAAATTCTCCAGCTCCTCCCATCATAATGATGATATAACACAAAAATACTTATATCTCTCTGAATCTTGGTGTCTTCATCTGTAAAACTGACTGATAAACTATAGTCTGCCTAATTCACAAGTCTGTTTTGAGAGGCAGTGAGATAACAAATGTGAAAATACTTTAGGTCTGAATACCCATTTTTGCTGACAAGTGGCCAAGACTTTTCTCTTTCAAAGTACTCTTGTTGAAAATGAGGCTTTCGGATGTGACCACAGCTCCCCACATTAACTCTGGTAGTCATGTCTGGTGGAAACACCAGAAAAGCTTCCAGAGAATGACCTCCTGCATGGGAGCAAGCTCCAGGATAATGATGGGCATGGGCAGAACAGAACCTAAAAAGTGCACAGGACTGGGAGCCAGGCCATCTGACAATATCTGGGTGTCTAGGGGATGCACAGACTAAGAAAGCAGAGAGCCTGCCCTCAGGAAGCCTACAATCTAATAAAATTTGTTCTACAGTAGGGCATCAACAGATGTTCTCAAGTGTCCACCCAGCCAGGCACAGTGGCTTATGCCTGTAACCTCTGCACTTTGGGAGGCCAAGGTGGGAAGATTGCTTAAGGCTAGGAGTTTGAGACCAGCCTGACAACATAGTGAGACCCCCCATCTCTACAAAAAATAAAAAAAGTAGCCCGGCATAGTGGCATGTGCCTATAGTCTTAGCTACTTGGGAGGCTGAGAAGGGAGAATTGCTTGAACCCAAGAGTTAGAGGCTGCAGTGAGCTTTGATCACAACCACTGCACCCCAGCCTGAATGACAGAGCAAGATCCTATGTCTAAAAATAAATAAAATAAAATAGTAAAAATAAATAAACTCCCTACCCAATTCCAGGGTAGCCTCAATCTTCTTATAGATTGAGCCACACAGAAGTGGCCCAGGTAGGCCTGGAAGGGGGCAAAGGACTGATACCACCATCCCATGAGGTCCTGTGAAGGAAGACCAAGTTACAAGTAAGCAAGCCATATAGATGTATGCTCCCCTTCACTAGCTTATCTTTTATTTTCTTTATAGCATCTAAAACGCTTATTTTTTGTATTTGTTCATTTTCTGTCTCTATCATTAAAATGTAAAATCCTCAAAAGCAGGGACTTTGAAAGTCTTGTTCGTCATGGTATTTTCAGCACCTAGAACAGTGACTGGCACAAAGGAAGTGCTTAATGAGTCTGCCAAATGAATCAATCCCTTCTGCCCAGATATGGATCTTTCTGGAGCTAATTTAAACTTTTATGTTTGCAATTAGAGTTAAAATCCCCAGTTATCCTTACCTCCTGGTATTTACACCTTATGCTTTGAATCAAGGTGAGTCTGTGTGACCAACAGAATATGGCAGAAGTGATGGTATGTCACTTTTGAGACTAGGTTATAAACGCCTGCAATTTCCATTTTTGTTACTCTGTCACTCCCTTGCCCTTGGGATACTTGCTCTTGAGGGAAATCATTTCATGAGCAACCCTAAGGAGGGAGCCACCTAGTGAGGAGATGGAGTCTCCTGGGTATCCTGCCTACCACCACATGGGTGAGATTGAAATTGAGTGGATCCTCACACTCACTCAAGCCTGCAGAGACTGCAGCCCCAGCTTGACTGCAATCCCATGTGAGATCCTGAGCCAGAGGCATGTACCTGAGCCACAACCAGTTCCTGACACTCAGAAACTATGGGAAAAAATAAATTGTGGGTGTTTTAAACTGCTAAGTTTTGGGGCAATTTGTTATACAGCAATAAATAACTAATACACTGCTACTTAATGGCCACCAACCCCCAGCCGTGATCTCTGATCCCTGGCTGGAAAAAAGGGATGACCCACCCCTCCACCCAACCACAACAGAAGCAGATGAAGAAGCAGGCCAAGATGCTGAGGATATACAAACATGTCTCTGTCCTTAGCAAAAATAGCATCCATCGCCTCTACATTTGCCATGGGAAGGAGACACTGCTAGACCCTGGCTCTTCCCTCTAGCGCAGAGATTTCACATCCCATTGGCGGGTGGTGGGGATCTTTCACTGATTTCCTAATGCTTTTTGGCATTTGGCACTCTGCTTTTAACACTCTACCAAACACAGCTGAGACCTGAATACAACAGAGAAACAACACTTTACTAAGGATTTTGGGAAGATTACAAAGAAATATAGAACACTACCCACTGACAAAATTTTGTTTCCAAAAATGACATATTTATCTTTACACTGGCTCCTTGTACCTCCCAGAGCCCAGAATCTTAGAGTAGCTGTGTAGAAATCTCAATTTCCAACAATTACAATAGCTAAAAAGGCTATTTGAGTCCTATCTGCCTACGTAGGCAGGTGCCTATTGCCGTCTAAGGCCCCAGGACTTCCCTCACTCAACACTGAGAAGTCAGCCATAAGGCAAGACTTCATCTCATCAGCTGTAGCTTACAATCAACCATCCTCAAACACCAGGATATCACATAAACATTCTCATCCCAATGGGATGAGATCCCAATGCTAACAGAGGATGGGGCCATTTCCCTCACAACCTCTACATCAGCTAGCTTCATCTGGGAGAAACAACACTTCATCTACGTCCAAGACGTTCTCTTCCACCTTTCAGCAAAAAGAAAGGCCAAAGATTAACTGATGGTTCTAATCACAGAGCTGATGGACAAGCCAGGTCTAGAATTCTTCTCCTTGGCAGACCTGAAACTCATTTCTAGTCACACGACCTGCTGGCATCTCCCAGTAATAGGTGAATTGTACATTCTATCCCATGACTGTACAACCTCAAAACTGGGATCTCAGAAGTTGTCTAGCTCAGCCACCTACTCGGTGCTGAAACTCCCACTGCAGAACCTTCCTGGACATTCCAAGTGACAGGATGCCTACTACCTCCAGAGATCACTGATCCCATTCTAGGATGCCTCTAATATTAGAGAGCTTTGGCGCCTAATGAGCTGAAATTATCCCCCCACCTAATACATGCACCCAATGCCTTCCAATATTGGGTGCAGCTCTACCGTCTGGCCCTACCTTGTCCCTCTGCTCCATGGCAGCCCATCAAAGAAGTAGTGACAGTGCCTGGGCTACCCCAACATTATGTCTTTACCATCCATCTTCAGAAGACATTGTTGGAAGGGCTTTCATCCAATCATTCACTCTTCTCCTCTTCTATCCTTGGGGATATGAATAATCAAAACAGAGTACCATCCTCCAGACAAGGTCCAGCCAATGCAAAATAAAGCTGGATTTTTACTTCCTCTGGTGTCATTACCATAATTCTATTATAATAATGCAAGTTTTACACGAACTTATTTAGAAACTATATTACCCTATTGGTTCACAGTAATCTTGTGGTAAAAAAAAAAAAAAAAAAAGCTTCTTTTTGTATAAACTGCTGTTAAGCCAGGTACAACCACCCAATCTTTGAAAACTCACTTTGAGGACCTAATTCAAGACCACATATTTCTTTTAATTGAACAAATTTTTTTTTCTTTTTCTTTTTTTTTTTTTTTTTGAGACAGGGTCTTGCTCTTTCACCCAGGCTGGAGTGCTGGAGTTCAGTAGCACAATCTCAGTTCACTGCAACCTCTGCCTCCCGGGCTCAAGCAATCCTCCCACATCAGCCTCCCGAATAACTGGGACCAACCACAGGTACACACCACCACGCCCAGCTAATTTTTGTATTTTTTGTAGAGGCAGGGTTTCACCATGTTGCCTAGGCTGATCTTGAACTCCTGGGCTCAAGCAATCCACCTACCTTAGCCTCCCAAAGTGCTAGGATTACAGGCGTGAGCCACTGCATATGGCCCAAAAATTCTTTATACAAAGTATTAATAGATACCAACCTACAATACTCTTATACAAATAAAATAAAATCATATGTATAAAGTTGTATTCATAAAGGTAAGTATGCTAAACTGAAAGCTACACAGCAATGAAAAACATTAACAGCAAATGCAAATAAAAATAAAGCTATTTTCTGAGGTTGGGCGCAGAGGCTCATGCCTGTAATCCCAGCACTTTGGGAGGCTGAGCTGGGAGGATCGCTTGAGCTCAGGAGTTGGAGACCACCCTGGACAACATAGAGACAACCCCTGTCTCTACGAACAATTTTAAAATTAGTCAAGTGGGATGGTATATGTCTGTACTCTGAGCTACTCAGGACGCTGAGGTGGAAGGATCCTTTGAGCCCAGGAGGTCAAAGCTACAGTGAGCTGTGATTGTGCTGCTGTGCTCCAGCCTGCTTGACACAGCGAGACCCTATCTCAAAAACAAACAAACAGGCTGGACACGGTGGCTCGTGGCTGTAATCCCAGCACTCTGGGAGGCCTAGGGAGGTGAATCACCTGAGCCCCCAATTTCAAGACCAGCTATGAGTAACGTTGTGAAACCCCGTGTCTATTAAAAATACAAAAATTAGCTTGGCATGGTAGCCTGCACCTGTAGTCCCAGCTACTTGGGAGGCTGAGGTGGGCGGATGGCGTATGCCCGGGAAGTCAAGGCTGCAGTGAGCTGTGATCGCACCACTGCATTCCAGCCTGGGCAACAGAGTGAGACCCTGTCTCAAAAAACAACAAACAGCCAGACACAGTGGTTCACGCCTGTAATCCCAGCACTTTGGCAGGCAGAGGTGGGCAGATCACCTGAGGTCAGGAGTTTAAGATCAGCCTGACGAACATGGAGAAACCGCATCTCTACTAAAAAACAAAAATTTAGCTAGGCATGGTGGTGCACTCCTGTGGTCCCAGCTACTCGGGAGGCTGAGGCAGGAGAATCACTTGAACCTAGGAGGCAAAGTTGCAGTGAGCCAAAACTGCGCCACTGCACTCCAGCCTGGGCGACAGAGTGAAACTCCCTCTCAAAACAAACAAACATACAAACAAAAAGATATTCTCATGTTTCATTAAGCATCCAAACTAGCCAATCTTTTAGTCCTTTCCTTCTACACTATTTTGTATCCTCATTTTCTGCATCTGATTGGATTCTTGGATTTTATTTCACTTTCTGTGTGACATTCTCCACAGATACACCTCATTGACTGCTGCTGTGGGATGTCCCTATGCAGCACAGAGAAACTTCTCATTCCACACTTGTAAACAGAACTCGCCACATTACTGCCCAGGACTGTATGTTTATCTCTGTTGAATTGCACTCCACTGACTCTAACCAGTAATCCCAGTCTCCGGGGATTTTTAAAGAACTATTTCAGATATGCTCAAAAATATAGATGGCCAGGTGCGGTGGCTCATGCCTGTAATCCCAACAATTTGGGAGGCCGAGGTGGGTGGATCACATGAGGTCAAGAGTTCAAGACCAGCCTGGACAACATGGCAAAACCCGTCTCTACTAAAAATACAAAAAATTAACCAGGTACAGTGGTGGGCACCTGTAATCCCAGCTACTCAGGAGACTGAGGCTGGAGAATCCCTTGAACCTGGGAGGCAGAGGTTGCAGTGAGCCAAGATGGTGCCACAGCACTTCAGCCTGCGTGACAGAGTGAGACTCCACCCCCCCAAAAAATTATATATATATATTATATATATATAATATGTTTTATACATACATTATATATATAATACAAGTTTTATATATGTTATATATTATATAAAATATGTTTTATATATATTATATAATATAATATATTTTATATATGTTTTATATATATTATATAAAATATATGTTTTATATATTATATAAAAATATAAATAAATATTATAAATTATATATTATTATAGTATATATTATATATAATATATTCCATATTATACTATCTTATATTATACATATTATATATCATACTATATACAATATAATATATTATATATCATATTATATACAATATAATATATTATATATCATATTATATACAATATAATATATTATATATCATATTATTTACAATACAATATATAATATATCATATTATATACAAGATAATACATAATATATCATATTGTATACAAGATAATATATAATACATCATATTGTATACAATATGATGTATTATATATTATCTTGTATACAATATGATATATTATATATTATATTATATACAATATAATATCTTATATCCAATACCATAAATAATATATTATATATACTATACTATATATAATATTATATAATATATAATATTATATTATATATATTTATTAGATATAATATAATATATAATATTATATTATATATATTTATTATATATAATATAATCTATAATACAATATTATATATTATATATAACATAATATAGATAATATATGATATATATTATATATTATATATAATATATATTGTATATAATATTATATATAATATATGATATATATTATATAATATATAATTTAGATAATATATTATATATATTATATTATATTACATATAATATATAATATTTTATATTATATTATATTACATATAATATATAATATTTTATATTATATTATATTATATTACATATAATATATAATATTATATATTATACTATATTATATATAATATAATATATAATATTTTATATTATATTATATTATATATAATATAATATATAATATTTTATATTATATTATATTATATTATATATAATATAATATATAATGTAAACTATATAATTATATTATATATTATATTATATATTATAATAAATAATGTATAATATAAAATTATATTATATATTATGTTATATAATATAATAAAATATTGTATATAACATATATTATATATTATATATTATATATTATATTATTATATAGTATATAATTATATAATATTATATATTATACAATATATAATATATAATATAATTATATATTATACATTATATATTATAATATATAATATATCATATATCATATATTATACATTATATATTATAATATATAATATATCATATATCATATATTAAATATTATATATATAAGATATAATATATCATATATGATATATTATATTTATAATATATATAATATATAATATATATAAAATATAATATATTATATATTTTATATATTATGTATATAATATAAAGTATATATTATATAAATATAATATAATGTATTATATATGTAATATAATAATATAATATTATATAATAAAAATATGATATAACATAATATTATATATTAAATTATATTATATATTATATATAATATTATATTATATATTAATATTATATTATATATTATATATAATATATAACACAATATTATATTATATATAGATATTATATTATATATTATATATAATATATATTATAATATTATATCTTACATATTATATATTATATAATATTATATCTTACATATTATATATTATATAATATTATGTCTTACATATTATATATTATATAATATTATGTCTTACATATTATATATTATATAATATTATATCTTACATATTATATATTATATGATATCATATCTTATATATCATATAGCATATAATATTATATCTTATATTATATATTATATATTATATTACATTATATATTATATATTACTATATATTATATAATATATAATATTATATATTATATAACATTATATATCATACAATATGTAATATTATATATTACATATTATACAATATTATATATTATATTATTTTATATATTATATTATAATATATATTATATTATACTATAGTCTATATTATACATTATATAATATTATATATAATATAATATTAAATTATATATTATATATTATATGTAATATCATACTATATTATATATTATATATTATATAAAATATCATATCATATTATATATTATATATTATATATTATTTCGTATATTATATATTATGTATTATATATTATATCATGATATTATATATTATATATTACATGTAATATAATATTATGTTATATATTATATATTATATAATATAATATGTTATATATTATATATTATAGATAATATAATCTTATATTATATATTATATAGTATAATATATAACATATGATATTATATATTGTATAATATATAATATTAAATATTATATAATACATAATATATATGTTATAGAATATATACTACATATATTTTAGAATATATATATTATATAATATAGAATATATAATATTATATATTAAATATTACATATCTTATATGATATTGTATATTATATATATTATATATCATATAATAAATAATACATATTGTATATTATATATATTATATATTGTACAATATATAATATTATATATTATATAACATATAATTTATATAATATTATATATCATATAATATATAATTTATATAATATATAAAATATAATATATATAATATATACAATATGGTATATATAATATATAATATATATAATATATACAATATAGAATATATAATATATAATATATACAATATATAATATACTATATATAATATATAATATATGATATAAATAATATAGAATATATAATATAAGTTATATATATAATTATATATTATGTATAATTATAATTAATATATTATTAGCTTATGTAATATAATATATAATATATATTATACATTATATCTTATAATATATAATATATATTATACATTATATCTTATAATATATAATATATGATATAATTATATAGTATACATTATATATTGTAATATATAATATAATATATAATATCATATATTATATTATATACAATATAATATAATATAAAATATTATATATTATATATACATATATATGTATATATACATATATATGTATGTATATATGTATATATACGTATATATGTATATATAATATATATTTATATTACATAAGATTATATTATATAATATATCATATAATATTATATTATGTAATACTATATAAGATAATATATGATATGATATATAATACTATATAATATAATATTATATAATATTATATTATATAATACTGTATAATATATTATATATTATATAATATATAGTAGAATATTATATAATATATCATATATAATATAATATAATACAAAATATTAATATTATATATAATATTATATAATATATTAATATTATATATGATATATTATATATTATATAATATAATATATATTAATAACATATTATATATTATATAATATATAATATAATATTATATCTTACATATTATATATTATATAATATTATATCCTACATATTATATATTATATATTATATCTTATATATGATATCTTGTATCATATTATATCTTATATATTATATATTATATTATTATGTCTTATAAATTATAAGATAATATATAATTATATTGTAATACAACATAAGATAATATATAATTATATTGTAATAGAACATAATATAATATATAATTATATTACAATACAATATAATATAATATATAATTATATTATAATAAAGTCTAATATATAAATATATTATAATACGGTATAATATAATATATAATTATACTATAATACGGTATAATATAATATATAATTATACTATAATACGGTATAATATAATATATAATTATACTATAATACGGTATAATATAATATATAATTATACTATAATACGGTATAATATAATATATAATTATACTATAATATGGTATAATATATTATATAATTATATTATAATATGGTATAATATACTATATAATTATATTATAATACGGTATAATATATTATTTAATTATATTATAATACAATATAATATATAATTATATTATAATACAATATAATATATAATTATATTATAATACAATATAATATAATATATAGTTATATTATAATACAATATAATATAATATATAATTATATTATAATACAATATAATATATAATTATATTATAATACAATATAATATATAATTATATTATAATACAATATAATATATAATTATATTTTAATACAATATAATATAATATATAATTATATTATAATACAATATAATATAATATATAATTATATTATAATGCAATATAATATAATATATAATTATATTATAATGCAATATAATATAATATATAGTTATTTTATAATACAATATAATGTAATATATAATTATATTGTAATAAAATATAATATATAATTATATTAAAGTACAATATAATACAATATATAGTATATTATACTACAATGTAATATAATATATAATTATATTATAATACAATATAATATAATATATAATTATATTATAATACAATATAATATAATGTATAGTATATTATAATACAATATAATATAATATATAGTATGTTATAATATAATATATAATATAATATACATTGTATATTATATTATAATATATAATGTAATATACATTGTATATTATATTATAATATATAATATAATATACTTTGTATATTATAATATAATATATAATATAATATACATTGTATATTATAATATAATATATAATGTAATATATAGTATATTATAATATAATATATAATATAATATAATAATTGCATATAATGTATAATACATAGTATATAATATATTATATATTATACAATATATAACATATTATATAATCGATATAATACATATAATCTATAATATATAATATGCAATATATTATATATAATATATATTATATAATGTATAATATTTATTATATATAATAATATAAAATGTAATTATAATTATATTATATATAATTATAATTTTATATAACTATATAATTATATATAGTTATATATATCACATATTATTATATATTATAATTAAACATATATAATAATATATAATATAATTATATATAATATTATATATATAATTATAATTATATATAACTGTATAATTATATAGTTATATATAATCATATATAATTACATATTATATATTATAGTTATACATATATACATATATAATATAATAATTATATAACATATATTATATATAATTATGTAATATATTATATTTTTATTATAGATTATATAATACATATAATGAACAAGATATATAATTATATAATATATCATAATAGATAACATAATTATATATGTATTATATATTACATCTTATATATAATATATATCATATATATTATATATATTATATAATATATATTATATAATATATATAATATATAATATACATTATATAATATTTATAATAATATAAAACATATAATTATATAGCATATAATATATAATATAATATATCATATTATGTGAACATATTAATAGTAATTTATTAATATTAAATTAATATATAATATTAAAATATTAATATAAGAAAATATATAATACATAATATTAAAGTATTAATATAATGTAATTATATGTTATATATTATAATTAGTAATATAAATTATTGATAAAATATTAACATATTAATATTAATATATGATATAATATAATACATTATTACATAATATATGATATAATATAATATATTATTATATAATATATAATATGATATAATATGATACATAATTATATATTATATAATATAATGTCATATGTTATTATATAATATATAATATAATATTATATATTATTATATAATATATAATGTAATATATATGATTATGTAGTATATAATGGAATATCATATATTATTATATAATATATAATATATGATATAATATAATATCATATATTATTATATAATATATAATATATGATATAATATAATTTATATTATTATATAATATATGATATAATATAATATATATTATTGTATAATATATAATATAACATAATATCACATATTATTATATAATATATAAGATAATATTATATCACATATTATTATATAATATGCAGTACAATATTATATCATATATTATTTATTATAATGTATACAATATAATATATAATATAATATATATTAATTTTATGTAATATTAATTATATTATATTATATTCATATGAATATAATAAATTAATATATTTTTATAATATAAATATTTATACCTTTATTACAAATATTTATATTATCACATAATATAGTATAGTATCATATAATATAATATATTATATTTTATATAAATGTATATATTTATATATTGATATAAATATATGTATTGTATTATATATAAATATAATATATTTGTAATACAATAAATATAAAATAATATATTATAATATATTATATTATATTAATTACATTATGTTAATATTATATAATATAGTATACATAATATATAATACATTATATATTATATATCAATTTTAATATTATATATTAATTTTATATTAATGTTAATATTACTATATTAATTTAATATTAATATAGTAATATTAATATATTATATATGATATAATGTAATATATTTTAATATATGACATATAGTATACATAATATATAATATATATTATAATATAATATAACATATTATATATTATATATAATATAAAATATATTATACGTAATGTATAATATATTATATATATTATACAATGTACAATATATAATATATATATTATACATAATATATAATATAATATATTATACATTGTATATAATATATTAGATATAATACGTAATATATAATATATTAGATATAATACATAATATATAATATATTAGATATAATACATAATATATAATATATTAGATATAATACACAGTATGTAATATATTAGATATAATACATAGTATATAATATATTAGATATAATATGTAGTATATAATATATTAGATATTATACATTAGATATATATTAGATATAATACATAATATATAATATATTATATATTATTATGTATTATATGTAATAATATGTATAATATAATATTATATATTATTATGTATAATACAATATTATATATTATTATATTTATTATATTAAATATTATTATATTTAATATTATATTATATATTATTATATTTAATATTATATTACATATTATTATTTTTAATATTATATTATATATTATTATATATAGTATAATATTCTGTATTATTATATATAATATATATTCTATATTATTATATAGAATATATATTATTCCAATTTCCTTTATCACAAAGAATGCTGTAATAAGCATGACTATCGATGTTTCTCTCCATCCATGGACCACAGTATCTCTAGCTCTAAGCTACAGAGGAGAATTGCTTGATCGTGGATTCCTTGCGTCTCTTGCTTCACTGGATGCTGCCAACTGGTTCCCTGAAGTTATCGAGCAGGTTACACTTCCGCTGGCCGTGTAGGAGAGGTCCCGTGGCTGCACTGCTCACCCAAGGTCAGCGTGTATCAGGCTTAATTATTAGCCAATCTGATGGGTGTGAAACAGTTTCTCATTTACTCCTTATTTGCCTTTAATCTTTATCTTGCCACCTCCCTTATTCATGTGGTCCATTAATTAGATACTCTTGGCTACAAATAATGAAACACTCAGAAGCAGCTGAAACACATAACAAGAAGCCTAAAGGTAGGGTTTGTTTTATAGTTGGTCAATTTAGTAGCACTAGGACCAGGTGCTTCCATTTTTCTTCTCCACCATCTTGAGCTTTGGTATTCAGCTTGTCTTCTCACGATAGCAAATTCACTGCCCCACAACTCTACACAATCTCACCCACAGGCAGGAAGGTAAGTCCTCCTCCTGTGCCTCTTGTTCAGTGAGAAATACTTCCCCTAGAGGCCCTTTGATCAGGTGTCCCTGCTTTCCTTCATACCCTTCATACTGTATTGGTCAGAATTGCATTACACACCCATGGGTAAAGGAGTGACAAGAAAGGGGAATGGAGCTTCCCTGGTCAGTTAGATTAATCAGCATTCATCCTAGGCAACAGAATGTCCCTCTCCCCAAAGCATATGGAAGGGTGAGTGTGTGAACAAATTTAGGGCTCTACTAGGAATAAGGAGGAATGAGGACAATGACTGTTGGGTAATGAAGATGGGTATCTGCCACTGTTGAGAAATAAAGTCCTTTAAAGCTGAATTCTAGAAACATCCTTCTTTCTGGTGATGGAGCTGTTGTTACCACAGACATGAATATCAGCAGTCTCTGATGTTCAACTCACAATGTTCACGTCCCTTACTTTTTCAACATGGAGCTCCATGAATTTTTCCCACTTCACTTTTTTCTTTTTTCTCTACCTACTCTTTTGACTCCAAGAATTTCTGTTCTTTTTTTGTTTTTTTGTTGTTTTGTTTTTTTTTCCTGAAACCTTCTCTTCACTCCATACTTTAAATCACCACTGGAAATATAAGGAGTTCTGTTTCCCACTCCCACCCCGACTCTTGTACCTCTGAGGATATCTTTATGTCATACCCAGCACCTCTCTTTTCTTAGGTTGTGAACTGACACAAATGTTTATTACTTTAACCATCCATGGCTATTCCTAATGGCTTATGGTCTTCCACAATGAGATTTTCTGATCCAAAGTCTCAGGTTGGTATTGAAGCAAATTTTTTTGACACTTAAAAATATTAAATGTGAGTAAACTTGGTATAGAAATAAACTTGTCAAGTATCTATCTGTTCTCTGAGACCAGAACCGAAGATCCTTTAAAACTGGCACCAGAGACCAAAAGTTTTTTCTGGGCGCTGATTCATTACTTATCAGCCACATCAGTGATTAAATATTTAAGTGCCAAGGAGTCTGTGATTAAATATTAATTCCCAGCCAGTCTGCTATGAAATATTTAAAGGCTTGTGAGTCTGAAGTGTGCAGCTTTCAGCCCAGAGCAGAAAAGAGCCCTGTCAAAGGCCAGATACCAGATGATGGAGCAAATGCATGAAGATGGGTTGGTGAGGAACTGTGCCAGGTTCAAGTGCGCCCAGATGCCCTCAGGTGCTCCAAATGCTGAGATCATGGACAGCACACAGGGCTGGTCCGTTTGTGAGTAACAACTCACTACCATGAAGAATGAAGACCCGAACTTATTTTGTGCATTTCAGAGATGGGAGAACTGAGGCTCAGGGAGGTGGAGGGAATCACCCCAAGTTTTAGTGTCAGCAAGGAGTGGGCCTTAACTAAGTTCCTGGACTCACCTGTGTGGAGGAATTTCTGTCTTCTCAGCCCTAAGAGCACCATAGGTGAATAATTCTTGTGTAGTCTTCGTATTAGTAAAAAATCATTTGCTCTTCAGTTTTAAATGGAGGGAATTTAGTACAGGAAATTGGTTACAAAAGGTTTGGAAGAATTGGAAGAGCAAAAAAGAGAATCAACTGGCATTCATGAGACCAAAAGGAAGAGGTGGACATACTCAGAGGTCAGAGCCCGCTCTCACTGCTGAGTTCTGGGATGGTGTCTCAGTGGCTTCTGGATCTGCCAAAGATGCATCTTCTCAACTAGAGCTGCAGCTGCTGAAAAGGCACTGGTTCTTTCTAGCCAGGCACCCTCTCCTGCTGCCATGACATCAGCCGGCAGCATGGCCAGCAACACCATCCTGTCTGAGTCACAGCAGAATCTTTCTCTTCCTTCCCTCTCTGGTCAATCTCCCATCTGCATCGCCTACTGGCAGAAGCAGACAGAAGCCTGCTGGCAAAGAAACCTAAGAAATGGAGTCTGCAGACTTCTAGTTCCAAGAGAATATAAAAAGAAGTGTGTAGAACTAAGAAATAACAGATAAATCACAAGTACCGCCCCCTTGCTACCTGAGGGAAATCACTCCAGGTTCATCAAGTGAAGCTTGGCCTCCCCTACCTTTTCCTGCTCTTTTACTATAAAATAGGACCTTCATAAGTTTGAGGAGTTTCTCCAGGATTTGACCTTACAATATGGGGGATCAGCTACTTCTCTTTTCTTGATCAACCCTGAAACCAAAAGAATAATTAATTTGGTTAAAAGCTGCAGATTTCATTTCTGTTTGCAAGTCTCAAATTATCTCAAATTGATGTGGTTATCAAGAAAGACTTGCACATAAAAACTTGGAAAGAGGCCAACCCAGGTAGGATCATAAATGCTCCATCAGAGAGGCAGCTCAACCCGTCCATTTTCTGACAGAAAACCTTAGTGCCAGAAAAGAAGAGCATGGAAAGGACTTCAGGTGACTTAGCCTGGACAGCCGCAGCCCACTTTGACCATTCCGGCCTTACCTGTACTGCGTCATGCCTAACAAGTGCAAGCTTGTCTTTTAACACAGATCGTCTTTTTTCCTCACCACTTTTGCATTCCTTTTATCTTGCCAGTGAATAAACATAAGAAAGAGAATAATTCATTTTACATGTTTTACAGTTTATAAGACATTTTTTCCATCCGTTATCTCCATTGATCCCAAAGAGAATCCTGTAAACTCTAGGCCAAGTCAGTTATTCCCATCTCCAAGTGTATGGGGCACAGCAAGTTTAAGTAACTTGTTCAAGGGCACACAGTCAAGTACCTACCACATAAGAGATGCCTAGAAACTTTTTATTGAGTAAATGATCAAATAAAAAACTGAATAGGCCAGAGTCATCATTCATAAAAACCAGAGCTGAGGGAAGCGTCGGAGTTGGAGTTCAATGGGAAGAAGACTTTGTTAGGAGAGAAACCAATCATAAGGACAGGGCAGAGATGGAAGCTGGCAGGGAAATCCTGATTCCCGTGCATGTGAGGGAGTAGGGAGGTGGCTCCCAGAACCCAGAGGGAACTCAACATCCATCTATTTTGAGATCTGGCAAGAGGAAGATTCTAATTACAGAAACTCCTAAAAGCAGTGTTACTTCTAGAATCCCTGACTCATGCCCATCTTCCATGCACAGTGGTGAACTCTCTGGTGTTTGGGAACATCAGCATCAGCCCAAATGCTCAGGGGGTCCCATCGGGTTTCTGATTGTTTACATTCAATCATCATTGTCACCCCCTGCCACATATCCACCACCCCCACTATCCTGCCCTTCCCCTACCCCTGAGTCTCATGAGCTTCTGCCCTCTGCAACTCTTGCCCCCTCCTTACCCTCGATCCCTCCCCACCACCACTGCTGTTATAAAAACAGACAGAACCTACTGGCTGTATTTCCCTGATCCCTAATCCAGGGTGACATTCCAGGCAAACCACCACGTCGTTTCCCTTTCTTTCCCTGTTCAGGGGCCTGCCTTTATGCTGACTCCATTGCACTTGTTTTGAGACAAGGGGGAAGATGTGCAGTCTATTACCCTTATAAACCAGCTCCTTTCTTCCTCTCTCTGCCATTTAAAAGGGCCTTTCTATTTGACTGAACAAGAAAAGGAACTCTAAGAGGGGAATTAACATTGTCCCTATTATATTGTCCAATTAACACTTGTCCCGTCAAAGGCTGAGTAGGAAGCCAGGAGCCTTGGTCAATGAGAACTTTTAATCCCTCAGGTAAATGCAAAGTCGCATTGAACACGATCAAAGGGCAGATCTCAATATATTCTCTCCCCAAACCCCTTCCCTCCCCCCTCATGCATAGGACTGTATGAGGCAGCTGAGTGCTGGTTTGAATTAGTTTCAACCTTCCTTTGTGGCCATGTTGGGTGAAAGTGTGGGGGATGGTTGGTCAGACATTTAAAAACTCACACCAAGGTTCTTAATTCCCTTCAAGACAAAGACACAAGCAGACATGTTGAAGTAATGACGACCCAACCATCTTCTTTTTAAAAAAATCTATTTCCTCTCTGCAGGTACTAGGCTCAGAACCATTATTAAAACAAAGTAAATTATGCTAATAGTTAATCCTTTTGAGGGATGGAATTTAGAGGTCAGTTTCTTCGTTCTGTAGAATGCTGCATTCATTGAGATCTGACCCATGAGAAATAGACAGACAAATAGAATAGGAACTTCAGCTGGAGGGCAGGGACTCTGAAACACTTAGAGTCCTTCCTTCTGAGCCTAACATACTTCTTTTTTTTTTTTTTTTTTTTTTTAAGACGGAGTTTCGCTCTTGTTGCCCAGGCTGGAGTGCAGTGGTGTGATCTTGGCTCACCGCAATCTGCCTCCCGGGTTCAAGCGATTCTCCTGCCTCAGCCTCCCGAGTAGCTGGGATTACAGGCATGTGCCATCACACCGAGCTAATTTTGTATTTTTAGTAGAGACGGGGTTTCTCCATGTTGGTCAGGCTGGTCTCAAACTCCTGACCTCAGGTGATCTGCCTGCCTCAGCCTCCTGAAGTGCTGGGATTATAGTCATGAGCCACTCAGCCTAACATACTTCTTTTGACATAGTAGGTGCTAAAAACTTATTTACAAATAAAAGTGTCTAGAAAAGTGATTTGCTTAGGGATAAATTTAAGATCTAGACCACTTCAAGGAGGCTTAAACTGGTTTACTAAGATGAAAACTTAACACAGGAGAAAAGAAAGAGTAGAATGGTAAGTTGAAACCAAGGAAGGGTTCATTCACAGGAGTTCATGCTGGTTGTTCCTGCTCAGTTATCACCGATGAGCCTCTGGGTTGACAAGGAGCTTCCTGGCTGCCAGTGCAGAGGAGAAACACAATCAACTTTAAAGTCTATATTGTCCAGAGAACACCTACTGAAATACACCATCAGACAAGAATGCAATATTAACAAATGTAACATCCTGAAGCAAACATATACTATGGGACTTCTCTTAAGGTCTCAGCCACACTCTCTGCCTTCTGAATACACAGCCTGTTGTATGGCTTTATAAAATTATACAGAATGGTGTCGAGTGAAGATGGTGTGTCACTGAGATCTCTGCCTCGGGTAGTTCTGTGGAGTGGGCTCAGCTGCACAGAGGTGGCATGGGCCTTTCTGCCCTGGGGTTCAGATCATGTGGGAACCTCCATCGCCCATAACAAGAGGTCAACAGTCCAGCCACACTGGTGTGGTTAGAAACAGGCTGACCCACGAAGCTTTGACCCAGTGCCGCAGTGACCAAGAAAACCACAGGGATGTGTGAACTATCAATCATCAACCAATCAACATTCACCAAGGTCCTCGGGATGTGGGCATCAGTGCCTGGCCTGAGGAAGACAGCCTCAGACACTCCCAATCCATGTGCACACCAGTGGCCTCTCCCTTACAAGTGACCTTGCTGTTCCTCCCTTTTTAGGGCTTTTGCACATGAAGTTCTTTGTCCTGGAATGCTTTCTCCACATCAAAGTCACTCCCTCACTTAATCAGGCCTCTGTTCAAATATCACCTTCTTAGAGAAACCAGCTCTGCCCATTCCATAAAAGACAGCACACACATTCCCATCCCTCCTGCCTCACCTCAGCCTGGTTCTCCCTTTTTCACAGTCCTTATCATCAGGAAGCATTTATACATATATATGTGTGTGTGTGTGTGTGTGTGTGTGTATATATCATATAAATATATATTATAAACATATAATATGTTATTATAATATATAATATAAACAATATAAAAATATTAATAACATAAAATATGATAAAGTATATATTAAAAATACATATGTATGTGTGCATGTCTTTATTATCAGTGTATACTATAAATAAGTAGATATAGCTAGAGACTTCCTGTCAGTCTTCCTTTTGGTACTCGTGTTTTTCCCTGGTGCCTTCACTACTCCCTGGTACATTGTAGAGGGGCATGAAATACTTGAGTGAATAAAGTATGGGAAAGACTGGTAAAGGAGTGGGGTTGGAGAAAATGCCTAAACACTTTGGTAGTTAGTTGCCTGGAAGAGCAGATCAGCTCAAGGTATCTGGTAGGAGGGCTTCCTGGAGAGAGTAAGGTTTCTGCTGAGCACTGAGGGTCAGGAAGCTCTCTCATCATAACAATGATAATTAGGGTAACGTACAATTTATCACCCCAAATGGGACATGTATTAGTCTGTTCTTATGCTGCTAATAAGGACATACCCAAGACTGGGCAATTTATAAAGGAAAGAAGTTTAATGGACTCACAGTTCCATATGGCTGGGGAAGCCTCACAATGATGGTGGAAGGTGAAAGAGGAGCAAAGTCACATCCTACACGGTAGCAGGCAAAGAAAGAGAACTTGTGCAGAGAAACTCTTCTTTACAAAACCATCAGGTCTCATGAGACTCGCTCACCACCATGAGAATAGCATGGGAAAGACCCACCCCCATGATTCAACTACCTCCCACTGGGTCCCTCCCATGACACATGGGAATTGTGGGAGCTACAATTCAAGATGAGATTTGGATGGAGGCACAGCCAAACCATATCAGGACACTTTGGGAGTAACAGGGGAGCTATTGATTTACACCCAGGCAATAGGCACAAAATGGAATTGTCCCAGGCAAGCTAGAATGTATGGTGACCCTGGTAATAATGAACTAGTAAGAGGGAGCACCTCCTGCCAGGGTGTGTGTGGGCGTGGCTGGGTGGGTGTTTTGTTTGAAAGTGGACACAGCTGGGCTGTATTCTGAGAACTACACTATAGGGATCTCTATGGCTACACCCCAGTGCATAGGAAGGGTCTTCCCTGGAAGGAGTTAACAGACATGCCCATGCTAGTCATCCTAGGAAGAAGTGGGGCTCACACAGGACACTCTGACACAGAATCCAAGCCTTGGGGAAAAAGCAGAGGGAATTGCTTTCCATGAACTTCAGGGTTCTCCAGGTGTCACTGTCTCAGGGCCATATTTTGAGCTGAGGAGAGCTCCTGGGTAGAAACTGAGACAGTGCCCAAGAGATAGGGAGCTGGGGTGGCCTGGAATTTTCTAGTCCTAGTGAATGGGTAGGCCTTGTGAGTCAGGCTACCTCCACACAAGTCTTTACATGTCTGCATCCCTGGTGTTATCCCTGAGACATTATGAGTAAGGTCTGTCTGACTACAACAACCTGGTCTTAACTGTAATGGCTGAAGGCAATACTCATTTGTCCTGCACAGATCAGAGCAAGAAAGGGGAGCTGGGCCATCTGGAGGCCAAGAGGTGTCCTCAAAGGCAATTAATAAGATATCTCTTAGGACAGTGATTCAAACTGTTTTCTTAGCCACATGGAAAATTAAAGCAAATGTCCAGAATCCCAATGTATACAACTTGGTAAAACTGTGGGCACCAGGGTTCAATCAGAGGTAGGACCTCAAATGCTCATGCTCTGTGGAGCATTGTTTGGTGACCCCCCACCACACAGAGATGATTCCTGGGGACAGTCAAGGCCACCTTCCACTGCAGCAGTAGGAGACTGAAGCTGCCAGGCAGGGATGGCTTGGATATTTTATTTTGTTTTAGTTTATTTCATTTCATTTATGTGTTGGTGTCTCTTCCATGACACCCTTCAAAGTGTGAAAGTGAACACAAGTACAATGCCACCAGGAAGAATTATTGGCCGATCCCAAACACACAAAGACCAGGGCCTAACATACAAACAGTGTCTTGCCCATGGAGTCACTCAGTGGCCCATAGACAGGCAATCTCTTGTTTCTGGGCCCCTCTGCCCTGCCTGCAAAGCACCTCTTCCTGGAGCTCCCTGTGAGGTCCAGGCTACACAGATCTTTGTTAGTAGCCACAGTTTCTATTCCTGGTGGGTCGTGAAACCCAGGGCTAGGGATTCCAGTGAGGCCAGAAGCATCTAGGGCGCAAAATTTAAGGTGCATCTCTCTCAAGGTGCAACCAGTCCCTAGGTGCACCCTCCGCACCTCACTTACCTCACCCCCATCCCTATCCTGCTGAAAGGTTCACTCTAATCTTTCATACCCTTCAGAGTAAAGCACCTATAATTCATTTCCCTTGCTAATATTGACCTCATTGGATAACACTAGTAAGTAAGCATGCTAAAGACCGTTCTCCATCAAGGGTAGATAGAGGAAGCAATGAAGAGAGAAACAGAACACACCATCCAACTGCATTTTTATTAAGAAAGGCATGTCTGCATACACGTAGAATTACTGACAGAACTGCACGCATACACGGCCCCAGGCAATATGGACGCTCCCATGCCTGGCCACATTCTCTCTACTTCTCTGGGTCCTTAAATGCCACTGGAGAAGGTTGGGTCAAAGTAGACACTAAACTTCGTGACTTGTCCATTTTAAAAGCATTAAAATATTCCCAAAGCTATAAAGAAAGATGTAAGTGTGGGAAATGGTTGGGGAGAAGAAGGAGAATAATTTGGAAAGTCAGGTTGTTATTCGTGCCTTTGGGGCTCATGTTTTTCTAAAATGAGCTCTATCTTTACAGCAAAACCAGCAGCAGCATCATAAAAGCAATTAAATGTATGCTGCAAAAGCACCAGCAGTGCTTCGGGCCTTACACCCATTATCTCCTCTTACCTACCTCAAACACTGGGAAGTAGGTGATATACTACCATGCTCAGCCAGACTGCCCAGTTTGAATCCCAGACCTATTCCCAGATAGAAGTCAAGTTACTTAACTTTTCTATGCCTCAGTTCCTCTATTTGTAAAATGAAAATTTAACAGCTTTAAATTCATCAAGTTGTTGGGAGGATTAAATGAATACACATACACATATACCAACAGTTCCTGCCTATAGAATGTGTATTATATAATCATTCGCTTTTTTTTTTTTTTTTTTTTTTTTTTTTTGAGACGGAGTTTCGCTCTGTCGCCCAGGCTGGAGTGCAGTGGCGCGATCTCGACTCACTGCAAGCTCCGCCTCCCAGGTTCACGCCATTCTCCTGCCTCAGCCTCCCGTGTAGCTGGAACCACAGGCGCGCGCCACCATGCCTGGCTAATTTTTGTATTTTTAGTAGAGACGGGGTTTCACCGTGTTAGCCAGGATGGTCTCGATCTCCTGACCTCGTGATCCGCCCGTCTCGGCCTCCCAAAGTGCTGGGATTACAGGCGTGAGCCACCGCGCCCGGCCTTTTTTTTTTTTTAACTTTATCATTATTTTACCATTTTACATCTGAGGTCATTGAGGCTTCGGTCACCTAGCCGGTAAGTGTCGGAACCAAGATTAGATCCAAAGTTCGTCTGACATTGCACAGCCATCATCAGCCCTGCCCATGTGCAGCCAGTGTATCATAGCTCCTAAGTTTACCCTTTAGACCCTGTACAGGCCCATGAGGCAGACCTGGTAATAATAAGAATTTACAGGCAGGGGTGCTGGTCCATAGGACCCTCTCAGACGACACCACTGCCTCCCGCAGCTGCTCTGCACCAATCTTGCTAGTGTTGAAGTTTGAGATTTTAGTGTACCTGTCACCTGAGTGGTGTACATGTACCCAATATATAACTTTTTGTCTCCCAGGTCCTCCTACACTCCGGAATCTTCAATGTCCATTATTCCACTCTGAATGCCTTTGCATTCTCATAGTTTAGCTCCCACTCATAAGTGAGAATTTACTGTATTTGCTTTTCTATTCCTGAGTTACTTCACTTAGAATAATGGCCTTCAGCTCCATCCAAGTTGCTGCAAAAGACATTTCATTCTTTTTCATGGCTGAGTAGTATACCATAGTGTATATATGCCACATTTTCTTTATCCACTCATTGGTTCATGGGCACTTAGGTTGATCCCACATCTTTACAATTGTAAATTGTCCTGCTATAAACACAGGTGTGCAGGTATCTTTTTGATATAATAACTTTTTTTCCTTTGGGTAAATACCCATTAGTGAGATTGCCAGGTCAAATGGTAAATCTACTCTTAGTTCTTTAAGAAATCTCCACACTGTGAATTGCCTGAACCTGGGAGGTGGAAGTTGCAGTGAGCCGAGATCGCGCCACTGCACTCCAGCATGAGTGACAGATCAAGACTCCATCTCGAAATAAAAAAAAAAAGAAAAAAGAAATCTGCATACTGCTCTCCATAGAGGTTGGACTAATTTACATTCCTGCCCGCAGTGTAAACTCTTCCCTTTTCACCACATCCATGCCAACATCTATTGTTTTTGGACTTTCTAATAATGGCCATTCTGGCTGGGATAAGGTGGTATCTCATTATGGTTTTAATTTGCATTTACCTGATGATTAGTGATGTTGATTATTTTTTCATATGTTTGTGGCTATTTATATATCTTATTTTGAGAAGTGTCTATTCATGTCATTTGTCTACCTTTTCATGGGATTTTTTTTCTTGCTAATTTGTTTGAGTTCCTTATAGATTCTGGGTATTAGACCTTTGTCAGATGCATAATTTGCAAATATTTTCTCACATTCTGTGGGTTGTCTGTTTATTCTGATGATTATTTCTTTTGCTATGCAGAAGGTTTTTAGTTGAATTAGGTCCCATTTATTTATTTTTTGTTTTGTTGCATTTGCTTTTGAGGTCTTAGTCGTAAATTCTTTGCCTAGGTCAGTGTCTGAAAGAGTTTCTACCAGGTTTTCTTGTAGGATTTTAATGATTTCAGGTCTTTGATTTAAGTTTTTGATCCACTTTGAGTTGATTTTTGCCCCCTGGGGAATTTAAATATGTAACCCAATCACTTTTATTCCTTCAGCCAAGTATCAGCTGTGTGGCTTTGGGCAAGTCACTTAACTTCTCTAAGCCTTAAATGCCTCTTATCTATGAAAAAAAAAGGCGGTTAGTGTTGTATATCTTACTTTGTCTTGAGAATTCAATGCAAAAAAGTATATATAGAACACTTAAATGGTCAGAAAATGATAGCTGCCTTGTGCCTTTCATGTAATTATTTATGTACAAGTGGTAGTTTGGAATTATTCTTGTTATTATCCAGGATCTGCTAAGTGTCAGGTACTATTCCTTATGCTGAGGACACATCTGTGAACAGGACAGACAGAGTCCCTGACCTCATGACACTTACATTCTGCTGCAGGAAAAGAGGCCATCTTTTTTTTTTTTTTTTTTTTTTGAGGCGGAGTCTCGCTCTGTCGCCCAGGCTGGAGTGGAGTGGCGCGATCTCTACTCACTGCAACCCCCGTCTCCCGGGTTCACGCCATTCTCCTGCCTCAGCCTCCCGAGTAGCTGGGACTACAGGCGCCCACCACCACGCCTGGCTAATTTTTTGTATTTTTAGTGGAGACAGGGTTTCACCGTGTTAGCCAGGATGGTCTCAATCTCCTGACCTCGTGATCCGCCCGCCTCGGCCTCCCAAAGTGCTGGGATTACAGGCGTGAGCCACCGCGCCCGACCGAGGCCATCTTAAAATGCTTCAAAATAAAGTCAGGGAGAGGGACTATTCTAGATGGAGTGCCAGGGAAGATCTAATCTGAGGAGGTGACAACTGAGCAGATTGCTGTATGAAGTAACGCCATGAAGAGGAGAGAGGAAAGAGTTCCCACAGTCACAACACCATCAGCGTCACCGCCCCCAACACACAGACACCTAAAAATGCACAGTTCAGAGCAGAGGTTCAGACGAGCCCTGCAGGGGATGATATTGACAAAGAGCACTTCCAAAGGCTGTGCTTTCCACGTTCCTGCAGGACGGATCCCAGGGTCTTCTCCCAGGTCTCCCCTGTCATAGGAAGCCACCATCAGGTCTGCCCAACCCAGCCTTCTAGACCCCAGTGGGGCATCATTCCACACTCCCAACGGGGGCTCCACATTTCCAAAGGGGCAAGCTGCATTGTGCCAATTAACTGAGAGAGACTTAAGAGTTTAACGGTTCAAAGAATGGAAACCTGCCAGGACCCTAGCTCTTTAAAGGGGCCTGCATCCTATGAATCCTTCAGGTAATCTCACTCTTATGCTCCATCACCCTTCAGGAGTGCACAGAACTCGCAAAGCCCTTAAGGCGGGGCCTTGCATTTTGTGCTTCACTGTGGTATCCTGTTCTTAAGTTTTTCACCTGCCCATCAGATCTCTCAAGACCAACTGCAAATAACTGCAGGGCAATAGACGTGGTGTGTGTGTGTGTGTGTATGTGTGTGTGTGTGTGTGTGTATGTGTGTATGTGTAGGTGCGTAGGTGTGTGTATGTGTGTACATGCAATGTGTGTACACGTATGTGTGCACATGCATGTGTGTGTGTTTGAGTATAAACACTTCTCCCACTCTTCATCTCCTCTTCTTCTCCCTCACTGCCTTCTCCATCTTTTCAACACTATAATCCTTGGCACATAGGTTGCCAAGGATAGGTCAAGGAACGCCTCAGAATTAACAAGGAAGTGAAAAAGAAAACAGATCACATAGGAGCACCTAGTCAGGGACAGCGCAGCAATGGTAAAACACGGTTACCTTTTAGCAACCAGGATGTCTATTATGTTTAATATTCCTCTGCCATCCCTCTGCTGTCAAATTACTTGGGCACCACTGTGCTATTTGAATGGGGCAGGATGTGGGCTAATGAGTGCTCTGGAAGGTTCTTGAAGGAGAGGCAGGGATGGCCCTGGAGACTGAGGGGCCCCACACCTGCCCCTTCAAACCCTTAGTTCCAATGGAGAACATGGAAAACCCTTCCCCAGAGCTCACCCAACGAGGCATATCTTCGCTGCCCTCCTCTTGCCAGGATCTGGTCACTTTATTTCTATTATATTTCACAGTCCTGGTTAATAATAATTATTAAACCCAACTTGCATTCATTCAGAAAGCAATAGTATTGATTGATACAAATTAATTCAATGCTATCTAATGTTTTGGTTTAACAAACATTTCATGAGGCATTTCTGAGTCTTGGGAGGGATGGCGGTGGCTCAGACACAAATCTTCCCCTCCGAAAGCTTGGCATTCTGTGGTACTGCGGAAATCAAAGAGTGGATTCTGGCATGGCACAGAGACCATAGAA
Source organism: Homo sapiens (assembly GCF_000001405.40). NCBI lineage: Eukaryota > Metazoa > Chordata > Mammalia > Primates > Hominidae > Homo > Homo sapiens. The sequence continues at coordinate 24,276 of NW_021159988.1, read as the reverse complement.
TGCTTCCTGGAGAAGGTGCCCATTAGAAGGGTCATTGAAGGAAAAAGAAAATGTGAATTTAAGGAAAAATACATTTCAAGCAGAAGAAAGCTCATGAAGAAATGCCTCAAGGCAGAAACATATATACAAATGTTTAGAAAATGGTGTCTGGACCTATTGGCTTGAAAATAAGAGATACAATAAGCTGCTGAGGTTAACATATATGAGATCTTCTTCCATAAAGTGCATTACTCTTGCAAATGTAGGTGTTTATTTTAAAGGTTGGAAAGGCAAACTGTGGACAAGTGAGAAGTTTTGAATGCCACACTAAAAATTGTTTTTCTGGTCAACTGGGAGCCAGCGTGGGGTTTCTACAGGAGGCTGGTAGGTAGGGTCAGACGGTGGCTCCAGAGGAACCTTCTGGAGACTACGTGGTGAGGAGCCTGGGGAGAGATGAGACCAATATTAAATGGCACCAGGGACAACTGATGAAGTCCTAAACCAAGGCAGAGAAGAGACAAGACCATAGATGTGGCTGATGAAAAATGCAGTGTCCCTCGGGGAAGGTATAGGGTTTCCCAGGAGCACATGTCTATGCAATCGGACAAATACAAGTGCTTCCTCCCCCACTCACCTCTGTTACTACTCATAAGACTTTAGGTGAAGACTCTGAACCTCATTTTCTCATCTTGACTGATGCAAAAACACAGCATCCATCGGGGAAGGTGTGGGGTCCCCCAGAAGCCACGTCCTCCTGGTCCACGCATTATTCAGAAGTCACGTCTTCCTGGGTGACCTCACACCTTCCCTGATGGATGCTGCGTTTTTGCGTCAGCCACATCTATGGTCTCGTCTCTTCCCTGCCTTGGTTCAGGACTTCATCAGCTTTTGCTGGCGCCATTTAATATTGGTCTCCTCTCTCTCCAGCCCCCTCACCACCTAGTCTTCAGAAGGTTCCTCTGGAATGACAGTTTGACCCTACCAGCCTCCTGTTGAAGCCCCATTAGCCCCAAAGATGCTAATACCTCCTGCTCCCTGGGGTTGCTGTGTGGATTAAATGAAATTTTGCACCTCACTCAGAATAGTGTCCAGGTCAGCTAGTTCCCTTCCCCCTACTTTCACAAACAGGAAAACTAAGAAGGGGTACATCTTTGCCCAGAGGTCCACAGCTTAGATGTGTTCTGTGGTCTTCATTAGTCAACCTATTATCTTTCTATGTTTCCAAACTTCTATGACATTCCTTTTATTATATACCAAATGCAATTTTTGTTGGCAAATCTTTTTTGAAAAAATGAATCACAAGGTAAAAGGATCTATTAGTCACTCACATGCAGAAATCACTTCTGTTAGATCTAGCAGCACAAAGAAAATTTTAAAAGATACGTTAGAAACAAATACATTCTGGGCAGCTGTTAAATTGCATTTGAGTGAAGGTTATGTACTCTGTGAGGGACAAGTGACTTGAGTGTGTTTTCTTACTACGGCTGGCTGACGCTCTGCCCTGGCATGCTGCAGGAAGCCAACGAGACATTTCCAGATAGTCACTATCCAGAGATGTGGCCACAAACCAAGGTCCCACAGGCTCCTTGTGACATAAGGGAGTCAATGTTTCTTTTGCACGACCCCAAGCAAGTCTCTGGTTTGTTGGAAAGCAGCTCTCCTCTTATCAGTCGGGCTAACAAAGTGAGGGAGCCAACCCTCCATCCAGGAACAACGAGCCCAGCGCAGCGGGAGATCAGAGGGAGACCAAGGTCGTTGGCCTGCACAGTCCAGGGTTGACCTTGACTGTGGAAGACCAGAAGATGGGTCAGAGGGAATCCCAACTCCGCAACCTCCTAGCAGTGTGCCCCTGTGCAGGTTGCACAAAATTGTGGAGCCTCAGTTTCCTCACTTCTAAACTGTGAACAATAGTACCTACCCTGAAGGGCTGTTTGGAGGTTACAGGGCCTAGTAGATATAAAAGTCCTTCGGAAATTGGAAAATGTTGTCCCTATAGAAGACAATACTTTGATGACAGTAGAGCTCCCCAGCTAAGGGGCTCTCAGGCCTGACACATCAAAGGAGAGGAGAGCAGGGCAGGATGAATCGATATCCCGGAACACTCATTCGGGTTCCATTCAACCAGCAGTCTTTCCCTCCCTGGCCACACAGCCTCTCCGAGACATGCAATCCTTAGTAAGCCACTTCACTTCTTCAAGCATTACCACCCCTCACCAATCTAATGGACACAGTGATATCTACTTCTCCCAGCATGTGAACTTGTGGCCAAGACCATTCACAAAATGCACACGTGATTTGAAAGAAAGAAGCTCAGCACACATGGCATGCTAAAATATTATCCCTGCCCCGTCCTTCCCGGTGTATGAACTAGGTGAACTCAGGCAAGGCATATGACCACTCTGAGCCTCAGTGTCCTCTTCTATAAATGGATATTAAAGTACTTAATCCCCGGGCCCACATGAAATGAATAACCTAATAAAGAAAGTACCCAGCACCATCCCTGGTCCATGGCAGCTTCACAAGTGGTGATCTCATTTCTCCCCTCTCATTCCTGTCCCCTACTCTGCCCCCAAGGTGGTTTCAACCCTTACGTTGCTGCCCCAGACCCTTGGTAAACTACAAAGCAACCTGAAAAGCTTCTTCAATCTCCTTTATCCAGGGTTTAATTATGCCTTTCCTTGATTAGGAAAAGCTATGTCTAGTACCTGTATACTCCTCTTGCTCCAGTAAAAAGGCCAGAACTAGTCAGCCATGGTAAGTGACAGAGGGTCCTAAATACTGCCTCCAGTGTTTGTATGGGGTAGGACCATGCAAATCACCTCTGATCCACAAACCCCCAAGCTTAGGGGACCAGATAAAAATAAGGATGCATCTCAAAGTCATTATAAGATAAACGGAAATCCTCTCCCGGTATATAACCTAGCTTTATTTTAGGAAGTGGATCCGACCATTCCTTCTGTGGGCAGAGTAGTATGAAAAGTTGAGTGACTAATCCAAGATTAATATTGGCTCAGTGCCTGCTGGGTAAGAAGCATTGTGCTAAGCACTTGGCATGCAGTGGTGAAGAAAACAGAGTGACTGCTGTCCTTGTAGAGAAGACCAACAATAAAACCATAAGAACCAGTGTCACAAACGTCAGGGAAAGAAAAATAAAGAGTGCCAGAACCTAAACTCATCCTGGGAGCCCAAGAAGGCTTTTGCTGAGACCTGAAGGTTGAGGATTGAGGCAGGAAGAGGCTACAGGGAAGGTGTCCCAGGCAGATGGGTGGAGAGCTAGTGAAGTTTGGATTCACATGTGAGTCTGTCTGAATTCAGAAACTGGGCTCAATTCAGTACAAGAGACCACTAGCAAGGAGGTCAGGGGACCTGCTGGGACCTGCCGAGATTGCTTGCGAGTCTTTGTGTTTGTGCACATGTGCGGTTTCTGGGGAGCATCTGTAGCATCCTTGGACACTGAAAAGAATCCATTACCTCCCTCCTCTCCCCCAGGCCAAGAACAACTGCACAGGGATATTGACACACCATTTCCTGCTGGGAAACCATCCTGTGCATCGTCAGGTGGGTAACCAGAGTCACTCTGGACTCTCCCTAGTGAGGCAGCAGCCTGAGTGGGCTCAGAGCCTCTTCTCAGCCATTCTATCAATGGTTCGAAAAACCCTGCTTCCCACACCCAACCCAGCCCAAGCCTGTGTGCTGGGGGCAGAAGCTGCGTGGAGAGGGGGCTCCTCAGGGGTGATATCAGGATCACTAACGAGGGGAGTGTCCTCACCAGACCCCTTCCCTAAGCGCTTATCTATTATTCATGGCCAGTAAGAGGCCAAGCTTCCTTCCAAGAGAGAAACCCAGTGGCTCAGAGTGCATGGCCGAGGCCAGGGGAGGAGGGCTCCAGGGACAGCCCCGGGGAGCAGTGCAAGGTCCCTGTGGTGGAGGCACAGGGCTGGAGGCAGCCTTTAGGGGGTGGGAAGCGGGGAGCAGGGCCAGGTCAGGCTGATCCCCAGCCTCCTCCTACAGGCACAATGCTGCGTCTGATGCAGCGGCCTCCGCCTGCAGGCTGATATGTCTGTCCCATAAATAATTTACACCCTCCAGGAAATGGACCACAGAGATGCCAAAGCCATTAGAGGGCCACAGATGGGGGAAGGAGACATAGAAGGGGAGAAAACACGGAGACTCTGGACTGGGCTGGGCTGGGCAGCGTTTCTGGCCCATCCCAGCTGCAGGCCAGCCAAGCAGTCTCACGCCCACGTTCTCATCTGAGGTCAAAACTGCCCCACTGGGTGTACATTGTCATTTTTATTTTCCAGGTGAAGAAAACGAGGCTCAGAGAAGCTCAGGGATTTGCCACAGGCTGCACTTCTTGACCACATTCAAACCAGACCTCAAACCAGGTCCTCAGATGCTGAATTTGTCTTTCAAGCAGAAGGATTTCACTAAGAAACCATGGTTTCCTCTTTATCGTATTAACCCTGGCTGCACAGGAGAGGAGGCAATACCAAACCATGTGTGCTTATTTCCCAGGGCCGCTGGAACAAAGCACCACAAACCCAGGGGCTTGGAACAGCGGAGATTTATTCTGTTCTCCCAATTCTAAGGATAAATGAGGGTTTGAATGTTCTCCCAGTCCTAAAGGATAAAAGTCCTTGAGGTGTCATCTGGCCATGCTCCCTCTTGAAGCCTCCGGGAGAGGATCCTTCCTGGTCTCCGCCAGCTCCTGGCAGCCCCAGGGATTCCTTGGCTTGTCACAGCCCCACTCCAATCTCTGCCTCTGTCTTCCCTTTCTGTTACCATGTACAAATTTCCCTCCTCTAATAAAGACACCAGCCATATTGCAGTAGGGGTCCACGTGCTCCAATGTAACCCCAACTTAGCTGATGACATCTTCAATGACTCTATGGCCCTATTTCCAAATAAAGCCACATTCTGAAGTAGTGAGGGTTAGGATGTCGACAATAATTCTGGGAGACATAGTTTTTTGTTTGTTTTTTTGAGACAGAGTCTCACTCTGTCGCCTAGGGTGGAGTGCAGTAGGGCTATCTCAGCTCACTGCAACCTCTGCCTCCCAGGTTCAAGAGATTCTCCTGCCTCAGCCTCCCCAGTAGCTGGGACTACAGGTGTGCACCACCACACAGGCTAATTTTTGTGTTTTTAGCAGAGACGGGGTCTCAACATGTTGGCCAGGCTGGTCTCAAACTCCTGAACTCAAGTAATCTGCCCCCATCAGCCTCCCAAAGCTCTAGGATTACAGGTGTGAGCCACCACTCCTGGCCTGGGGGACGTAATTCAATCTGTGACAACACACCAAATGGAAAAATCTTGGTTATGAGAGCTGGGCAAGATTCAATGAATCCTGGCCTTCTTCTCCCACTGCAAGGACTATGGCTGCCTGTCTGTTGCAGGGCCTTCTGGCTCAGGACTGCAGAGCATGCACAGGAGAGAGCACTGGGCAGGGAGTCTGCAGCAGCAATGGGACCAGAGCCATCCTGTTGCTAGCTGCTTTTGAAAACTTCATTGGCAAATTACCTTTTCATCCAAGGTTTTATGAGGTTTTCTTTTCCTCGGAATCCAAATGATGATATTCCTTTGGTTCAGAAAATATTTCCTGAGCAATTGCTGTGTGTTAGCTCCTATACAGAGCACTGGACATACAGCAATGGATAAAATGCTGTCTGCTCCCACTCCCACTCGGAGCTCAGACTCCAGAGGCACAAGCATTTGAGTGAGTAGATAATTAAACCACTGAGAGATAAATGCTGCAATAAAAGGGTGTTCTGAATGCCACAGAGTACAGAACAGCAACAAGCTGATCTCTGAGTTATCGTCATCACTCACATTACCAAGCTCGATCTGAGCCAAAATGGATATATTGCCTCCAGCGAATATGCACAAATCTGGGTTTCTTTTGACATTAACAGGTGGCTTGCTGCAGAAGCACACGGTACTCTAGATAGGTAATGAGGCTCAAAAGCTCACTACTAGCGACTTCAGCACTGCACACTATGGAGCCAGAGAAGAAACGGGCAAGTGCAGGCCAAGCAGCCCACAATATCCCAGTGCAACATGGCCTTATGGTACCTACTTTCCTCTTGGTCACAGCAGGGCCTTATACCACTGGAAAATTGAAAGCCCTTAAAATGCTTCTATCATATATAGCAAACAACCCCCAGGGCACAAGTGCTGCAGCGTTCAGGGCCCTGGAGGCAACTGCATGAATGGAGCCTCAGGTTTGAGATTCCAAGTCCTCCCGTGTAGATGGGCTGTCTATAGCAGAGCCCTGGCAATGCCACCCTGGTGACAGCTGCGGGGACGGCCATGTGAGGCAGCCCATCCTATAGGCGTTTTTATCGGAGATGACAGCTTCCCTACTGCACAGCCCACATCCCACGGGAGGCAAGGAGCAGCTGGTCATCCACAAAAGAACTTTGATGTCGATATCAATTCTCTAGACCATGAACAGTCAGTTCACACGCAAAAAAAAAAAAAAAAAAAAAAAGGGAAGCAAAGAGTCAATAAGTGCATGAAAAAATGTTCAGGCTATCTCATACTTAAGGAAATGCAAATTAAAACAACAACAGGTTTTCCGATTTGTGTTTATTAAAGTAACTCTATATACATGTATATACTTGCCTGTGCTCAACTCAGGAAAGATGCAATAAAATAAGTGGTGCCTGGAAAAGAAATTTGACAATATATACCACCACCCCCTAAAAATGCACAAAATTTGTTCTATTAAGCTATATTAAGTAAATAATCTAAATATGTTTTATACAGAAAGGTGGCTGTCCTAGAGCTACTTACAATAAAACAAAACAGGAAACAACATAATTGTCCAAAACAGGGAAAAGATTAAATAATGGTACATCGATAAAGTAAAATATTATGATGTCATTAAAAACTACATTTTTTAGACAATTTAATAAATGTGAAAATGTTTATTAAAATAGAAAAGGTAGGCTGGGCTCTGTGGCTCATGCCTGTAATCCCAGTATTTTGGGAGGCCGAAGTGGGTAGATTACTTGGGGCCAGGAGTTCAAGACCAGCCTGGCCAATAAGGCAAAACTGTCTTTACTAAAACTGTCTCTACTAAAAATACAAAAATTAGCCAGGCATGGTGGTACATTTCTGTAATCCCAGCTACTTAGGAGGCTGAGGAACGAGAATCATTTGAACCGGGAGGCAGAGGTTGCAGTATGCCGAGATTGCACTCCAGCCTGGGTGACAGAGCCAGACCCTGTCTAAAACAAAAAGGGCAAAAGAATTACACAAATTATATTTACCATTTGATACTTACCATGTGAATATGTGTTTTTAAAAGATTGGAAAAATATACTAAAACAGTAATAGTGACTGCTTCTGTAAGTGGGATTATAGATTAGATGAGAAATGTTTCTTCTTTGTAATTTCCAACTATTCTTCAATAACTATAGACTTTTGCGCTAGTTTGAAAAATGTTTATAGTAATTGAACTTGTTTTAAAAATATATGGGTTTGTTTACATGTTTCATTACTCTGACAGCACTCAGCTATTGCCCAACAAGGAATATTAATGTAGGTGAAAGAGATAGTGATGACTTCTTCAAAATTTTCACTCAATACATTTGATCTTTGTGTTAAATTGTTGGTTGTCAGTCGGATGCAGTATCTCACATCTGTAATCCCAGGACTTTGGGAGGCTAAGGTAGGAAAATCACTTGAGCTCAGGAATTCAAAACCAGCCTAGGTGATATAGCGAGACATCGTCTCTAAAAGAAATCAAAAAAATTAGCCAGATACGGAGGCATGCACCTGTGGTCCCAACTACTTGCAAAGCTGAGGGTGGGAGTATGGCTCAAGCCTGGGAAGTCAAAGCTTCAGTGAGCTGTGATTGCACCATTGCACTCCAGCCTAGGCAACAGAGGAAGATCCCGTCTCAAAACAAAACAAAAAACAAAACAAAAAAAGACTGGTTGTTGTTGTACTATTTCCTAAATATTTTGCTGCATCTGGGTCAACTGAAATACTGCTAACTTTTCGAGGCCCTGCTCATGTTTTATCTCTTACTGAAAGACTCCACAAAAATTCAGTCCACAGGAACTTCCTCCCCTCCTTGGAAATTTTTTGAGCGTGACATACTGTATAATCTAATGAGCAGTAAATATACATTACATAACCATGTCTTTTCATTCTCTCTATGTGTGTGTTATCTCTTCATTGCTGGGTTTTGCACTCTTGAGAGTAGATGTATCAGTTAGCTATTGCTGCATAACAAATCAGTCAAAAAGTTAGTGGCTTAAAATCACCAATCTTTGAGTTGTCTGGGAAGCTGGAATTAGCCGTTCTCGGCTGAACTCACTCATGTGTTCATGGTTAGCTGGCAGATTGACTAAGGGCTAACTGGTCTACAGTGAAGCCTCAGTTGGTACAACTCGTCTTTGCTCCATGTATCTTAACTTCCAACATTCTAACCTGGGCTTTTTATTGTGTGGAGGCATGACTCAAAGAAGGTAAGTGAAAACACAGAGGTCCTGTTGAGGCCTAGGCTCAGAACTGGCACTATCAGTTCTGCTATATTTTATTAGCTAAAATAAGTCGCAGGGCAAGCCAAGATTCAAGTGATGAAGAAGTAGGGCCCACCTCTTAGTGAGAGGAGCTGAAAAGTTGGATTGCATGGATAAAGGAAGGAAAATAAGTAGGATACTTGAGCCATGAGGCTCAATTTTTTTCAATTCTATATTATGCCTAGTAACTTATCTGGTGTATAATATAGGCACCAACCATTTTACAGATTGCTAACAGCTCTATTCCCAGTTCCTTGTTTTTTCCCCCTCACTCTTTCTCTCTCTCTGCTCTGAATTGCAGGAGCCTGGAAGCCTGAAAACCACATATATGCACAGCCCAGATTCCCTTGCCAGCTGGCTTTAGATAGGGCTCTGCCATTGGGAGACACTGCCTGGAGACACTCCTCTTGAGAGGCAGGAGAAAGAGAGAAGCCATTTTGTTTTTCCTACTTTTGCTTCTAGCAGCAGCAACAAAAGTGGCAGGCAAGTGTGAATCCTGGGTTTCTGCTACTCAGGCAGCACAGATCCTTTGGTAATGACATTATGAGAAGGGATGTGCCAGCAGCATGGCACTCACAGACTCTGACTCTAGCAGTGGCAGCAGCATGTCAGCAATCTCAGGGGCCTGATACCTGAGGGTTCTGACCCTGGAGGAACAGAACAGAAGCAAGCCACTGTGACCTCCCAAGAGCCTGTGCTCTTAACAGCAGCAGGCATCTGATTTCCTGAAAAGCAATGTGTTTGCAGCAATAGCAGCAGTCATTCCAACAGCTCCATGGCATCAACAGTCTTGGACCCTGGCAACCAACTTCAAAATTGCGAACCTGAGGTTAGTTATCTAGATGTATAGTGAAAATGGCATACTAGCCGGGTGCAGTGGCTCACCCCTGTAATCCCAGCACTTTGGGAGGCCAAGGTGGGTGGATCATCTGAGGTTGGGAGATCGAGACCATCCTGTCTAACACAGTGATTCTCTACTAAAAATACAAAAAATTAGCTGGGCGTGGTGGCACATGCCTGTAATCCCAGCTAGCTACTCGGGAGGCCGAGGCAGGAGAATCACTTCAACCCAGGAGGCAGAGGTTGCAGTGAGCCAAGATCGTGCCACTGCACTCCAGCCTGGGCAACAAGAGCAAAATTCCATCTCAAAAAAAAAAAAAAAAAAAAAAAAAAAAAATGAGAGAGAGAGAAATAAAATGGCATTCTAGCAGACAAGTTTCAAGTACTAGTAGACCACAACTATAATTGCGCAGGGACAAAGCAGTTGCTTACGTTATTACCTGTGGTTGTCTGTGATAATGTGCTCACTGAAAGCAAAGTTCTAAGAGATCAAGTTACCGATGATGTAGAGAATAATAATTACAATAACTTGGATGGGTAGAGAGGAGCTGTTTCTGATTGCACTGAGGAGCTTACATGAAGAGAATTGAAAGATCTGACTTTGAACACCTAGCTTAAAGAACAATCTGAAAACCAGAAAACTTCTGTGTCAGCCCTAAAAGAACCTCCACTTTCTTATATCTTCAGGTTTGATACAGATGAAAGTGAAACCCAAAATTTAATCCTACAGGTTGCACCTATTACAATAGAAGTTGAATTCACAGCCTTGCCAAGTTTAGTAAATGACATTGACTGGGAAAGAGTGGAATTCAGAAAATTAGAATAAATACATTTAGATGGTATATTAGTCCATTTTCATACTACTACAAAAAACTACCTGAGCCTGGGTGATATATAAAGAAAAGAGGTTTAATTGACTCACAATTCCACATGGCTGGGGAGGCCCCAGGAAACTTACAATTATGGCAGAAGGCGAAGGGCAGACAAGGTAGAAAGGCACGTCTTACATGGTGGCAGGAGAGAGAGAGAGTGAGTAGGGAACTGCCACATACTTTTAAACCATCAGATCTCATGAGAACTCACTCACTATCATGACAACAGCATGAGGGAAACCACCTCCATGATCCAATCACCTCTCACCAGGTCCCTCCCCTGACACATGGGGATTAAAATTCCAAATGAGATTTGGGTGGGAACACAGAGCCAAATTATATCAAATAGCTTTAAATAAATATGAAAATCTAGACCTATGAAATACTGTTGAGACTTTTTGTTTTGTTTTTGTTTTTTGTAGAAACAGCCTGTCCTTCCATATCTGAGGAATCCCTATAATCCAAAATCACTATCATGATATAATACATAAAATAACTATAGACTGATGGATTTAGAATTTTCACAATAAAGGATTCCTAAAGAAATTGTAGAAAGAACAGACAGAGGTCTAAAAAAATATTATCTCATCTATCCTCCTTAGTCCACAGTTAGGTAAACTGAGTCCCAGAGAACCCAAGTTCCTTCCCATCGTGCTCCTCAAATGGAAGGGGAACTAAAAGTTTGCAGGTTCAAATTGAGGTCACTGTTTTTTGTTTTGTTTTAGTTTTTGAAACAGAATCTTGCTCTGTCACTCAGGCTGGAACTCAGTGGTGGGAACACAGCTCACTGCAGCCTTAATATCCTGAGCTCAAGCGACATTCCTGCCTCAGCCTCCTGAGTACCTGGGACCACAGGCACACCACCATACCTGACTAACTTTTTTATTTTTTTGTAGAGACGGGGTCTCACTATGTTGCCCAGGCTTGAGGGCACTTTCATCAGGCTCACCCAAGGGAGATTCTCTGTTGCTCATTTCTCAGTTTAATTGTTACCAAAAACCCCACAGTAGTATGACAGTAGCTTTTCAACTGTCACTACTAAACTGCTCTATTTTCTTAACATATGTTCTAGCTTGGGTTTCTAAACACTTATTCGAAGGTTATAAATCCTGATACATACCTGTAGAAGGTGGGCAATCACTCTCTGCGGAAAAAACACAAAATTCAGCTTTAACTTTCACAGGGAAAGTTGGCCTTGCCCAGCACGATGTTCCAGTAATTGAGTAGCTGTCATCTGCTAAAAACAAATGTTCTTTCAACTAAATTTCTGGTATGCCAGCCTCAATATGACACTGCAACTTCACTTCTTTGTAGATTTGCTAATACTTGGTATATTTTCCATGGCAATATGAGGTAATTTAGTCACTGCTAAACTTGATATCACTAATTTATCAACACTCTCCTTTACCAAATGATTGCTGGTGCTTCATGTCTCCATCTTAGAAGCATAGAGGTTGGTACAGAACATTTTCCACCATGTGTTGTGTAATGATGTCTGGGTATATTTATATATACATATATTATTTACTTAAGTATAACAAAGTTATCTTGGGCCAGGCGCGGTGGCTTGCGCCTGTAATCCCAGCACTTTGGGAGGCCCAGGCAGGCAGATTACTTGAGGTCAGGAGTTTGAGACCAGCCTGGCCAGCATGGTGAAACTCTGTGTCTACTAAAAATACAAATTAGCCAGGTGTGGTAGCGTATGTCTGTAATCCCAGCTACTTGGAAGGCTGAGCCAGGAGAATCGCTTGAACCCAGGAGTCAGAGGTTGCAGTGAGCCTAGATCGTACCACTGCACTCCAGCCTATAAGACAGAGTGAGACTCTTGTCTCAAAAAAAAAAAAAAAAAAAAAAAAAGTTACTTGGATGCTGGACAGTAACAAAAGCCTGTAGTTCTAGCCAGAGTCCCAGAGTACCAAAGTGATTTGGCCTCATCCTATGTAAAGTTAACACCCAATGAAACCCCATTTACACTAGACTGTAACTGACCTACATGAAATATTAGGACTGGGAGGAAGGTTGGCAATCAAGTATCACAACCGCCATGAAGTGTACCTCGTCACCATGAGACTAGGTTAGATGCTATCCCTGGGATTCTAAAGATCTGTTACAGCATCTGTCATGGAGGAGAGAAGGAAGCATGAGCTTTAGAGTTAGCGTAATCCATATTCAGATCCAGTTTAGACCATTTACTAACTTTGTGACCAAAGTCTAGTTATAGAACCTCAATTTCCAATTTCCTTACATGTGAAGTGAGAGTAGCAACAGCCTTGAAGGGGTGTTGCAAAGACGAAACTGTATGCAAAGGGCCTGCTGGAGTGGCTGCCACTTATTAGCTGCATGGCCCATTATAATGATTACTTTATTATTGCGAAGACAGACAACGTGTGTACGCATCTGTCACGGGGGGGGGGGGCTCGAAAAATGGCTCTTCATGAACCACATCCTGCTGTAGTCACCTCCCACTGTAGACCTTCCACATTCAATGTGGATTGCCTCTGTGAATTGTTTCAGCCAACAAAATGTGCCAAAGTAGGGGCAGGGGAAGGTGGGTGAGAAGGGTTAATAGGTACAAAAATATAGTTAGAATGAATAGGATCTAGTATTTGCTAGCACAACAGGGTGACTACAGTCAACAATAATGTATTGTATTGTATTGTATTGTATTGTATTGTATTGTATTGTATTGTATTGTATTGTATTATATTGTATTGTATTGTATTTATTTAGAGATGCTAAAGAGTATAACCTTGGACTTGCTGAGAAGGACACAGGGGCTGATGATTACGAGAGGGCTGCCTTTAGAAGACTGCTTCTAGAACCTGAATAGATTGTCTACCAAATCCCTGCCCCTACCCTGTCTACACTGACTTATTCGTTTTCAAACCTCTGCCTCCACAGGTTCTCTATTGAATGAAGAGTAACCACACCCATTTCAGCATTCCCAATCAGGAATCTGGACATTTGTCCAGACCTTTTTCTCCTTCAGCCCCTACATCCAGTTAGAAACCATCCCACCATCATCTTCCCTATCATCTCTATCAATTCTTGAGTGTTTCCTTTGTGAAAAACAACTGTATGAGATGGGGCTCATTTTTATTATCATGCCTGTTTTACAGAGGAGCAGGCTAAAGCAGAGACTCGCTCAAGGTCAGAGACTTGCCCGAGGTTAGAGCTAAGATGGCAAGAGGGTGGGATGAGTTCTAAGCACCGCCCCATATTGCCTCCTTATAGTGATATTCCTAAAATATCCCTTGACAGTGTCCCCCACCCCCCATCTCTACTTCCTCTTCCACTGGTGGGTTATCCCAACCCTTTGTCTACTCCTTAACTGAATCCCCTCCTTGCAAAATTTCTCCACACAGCCTCCAGGGTGAGCTTTCTAAAATGTCAGTCTAACCAGCTGCTTCTGTGAATGGCTCCCCCAGGTTTGCAGAGTGAATTCCAAAGAACAGCCAGCATGCAATCTGTCCATCATCCTGCCCCTGCTGTCACACCTGCAAATAATCCTGAGTTCCAGTGGTGCAGAACGGCTTGGAGTTCCCCAAATACACCAGCTCTCATGTCTCTTCTTGTCTCTGTCTTCTCTCATCCTATCCCCACTGCCACCATTGCTCCCCTCACCACCAAGGACACTGACCAGGCTTCCTCCAGCTTCCCCTCCAAGACTTGGCTGGCCCCGTGTCTCCATCTTTGGAAAACATTTCTAGGCCTTCCAATCTTTCTGTTCCACCGCTTAAAGTGCAGGCCTATTCTAATACACATCACAACATAGTATGCTTGTGTATTTATAGAACTCTAAGTGTGGGTGCTCCCTGGCCCTATCTCTGCCTGCTACCACAACGTCTGACATTTAGTAGGTACTCAGCACTATTTAATCGATGGATGGATGCTGTTTTCTTTTGCTGAAAGAGAATTAACCTCTCACCCACCCCAGCCCCCATCAGACTACATTTTTTTCTCAATCCTGCAAATTAGAGGATATTATTGCTTCTATCAGTGATAGTTTCAGAAATGTAAAGATTAATACGACGAGCAGCAAATGTTTCATCCTTAAGGTGCCACAGGAATAACATTTGCTAATTTGTATTTGCATTTGAAATTGAAACACAAATTGGCACAAGAACTATTACACATCCCGGCTAATTAATGTTCTAAAAATGAATTATGCAAATCAGCCTCAACAGGCCTCAGAAGCTCTTTCCATGTATAATAAATGACTTGGATGTGAACCTTGTTTAAGGGCTGGTTCTGACAAGGGTTGTGTAGTGGAAAGGGCACAGGCTTTGGAGTCAGACTCGGCACAATCTCCCTGGGCCTCAGTTTCTTTATCTATGAACTGGAAATGAGAATGCCTGCTTAACAGGGTTTCAGAGAGAACCAAAGAAATAACCATTACAGAATTCCTGGCTTAAAGTAGCTGCTTTGCAATATTTGTTTCCTTTGACCTTTGGATCCTTCAGGGCGTCCTGCCTCCTCCGGCACCGCCCCTTCCCCTCCTCCTTGACTAACAGCAGTCTTGCCTCAAACATCCAACCATGCCCTCCGTAGCCCTAACACTGTGTGTGTTTTCTTTTAGTGCACCAGGAGTCCACTGAACTCTGTGATCATCTAGCTTGGCCAGAGCATTTCTTAGGCCTTGGGAAGGGAATGTCAGAGCAGCTGGAGGGGGGCCTAGCGACTGCTTGGGTGGTAGAGCCGGCAGCAGTGGGGTTCTGGGCAGCCGTCTGTGTGGTCTGCACAGGGCTCTGATAACCCATCATCCAGGCCGGTAGCATCTCATGGCTCAGCTGGGCCTCAACCAGCGCCACAAGCCCATCTGCACAGCACAAAGTCATAGCATACACCAGGGCCACATGGCTCAGAAAGGACTTGGGACCTGAGCCCACCACGGGCAGGTCTGATGATGACCAGGATGATGAGAAACAGCACACGCAGACCCCTCAAGGAGTCCAGCAAGGATAGAGCTGAGTTTCAACTCACCCCTCACTCTTGTTTCCAACAGGGTCAAAGAAAGCTCCATCGATTCCTGCCTGACAATAATGACTATTACTATGAAGCAAATATTATTAACATCAATCACAGAGGAGGACCCTGGGGCAGAGGAGAGACCACTGAGCGTGCTTGTGGCAGCGTTGGAACCCGGTCCAGTGACTTTAATGATGGTGTTGTCTCCACAGGTGCCCGGGCCACATCGCCCCAGAGTCCAATTTCAGTCCTGTCTATCTCACTACCGCGACACCCCACACAAGGCCTGGCAACCAATGGGTCCTGAGCAAATGTCTCCAGCTGTCACCAGCACTGCAGAGGAGCCTCCGAACGATGAATGCCAGCATTTTCCCACGTCCCCTGAATGGGCCCAGCAAAGCCTTGTCCTGTGCCAGCGTCACTGCCCACCCTCTTTACTCCCACAGCTGCAGGCCGAAAGCTACAGGGGAACATTTAATTTCACAACTGTGCAAACTGCTGCAATACCGACCTGTGGTTGCCAACTTCGGGGATCCCTGAGCAGCTTCTCCACCTGTCTCTGGACAGCTCCCTCCCATTCCTCAAAGATAAGTCTAAGCCTGTACCCCAAGCCCTCACAGCTCAACTCTCACCCCACTCTCACAGATGTCCTTGCCTCCTATGACATCAGGAAGAATGGGTAACCAGACGAGGCCCTTCTTCAACTCCCTCCTGAGGGTCCCTGTGTGCTGCCTAACTCTTCTACCTGTGCCCTGGTCTTCCTCTCTTCCTGCCGCCCCTGGAATATTCACCATCACACACACACACACACACACACAGACAGGGACACACATAGACACAGACACACATAGACACACAGACACTCACATAAGACACATAGAGACACACAAACACACACACACACTCATAGACACACAGACACACATACACACACAGATACAGACACACACACACAGAGACACACACAGACACAAACATATAGACACACACAGACAGGAACACACATAGACATACACACACAGACACACACAGAGACACACACACAGACACAGATACACACTCTCATAGACATACACAGACAGACACACACACAGACACACACAGAGACACAGATACATACAGACACACACAAAGACACATCTACAGACACAAACACACAGACACACACAGACAGGAACACATATAGACACAGATACACACACAGACACACACACATAGATACACACAGGCACACACATAGACTCAGACACACACAGTGACACCCACAGACACAGATACACATACACACAGATATACACACAGATATACACACAGATGCACACATACACACAGACGCACACAAAGACATACAGAGACACACACACAGGCACAGAGGCACACAGTCATAGACATACACACAGACACAGACACACACAGACATACACGCAGACACACACACACTCAGA
This sequence comes from Homo sapiens, assembly GCF_000001405.40. Classification (NCBI taxonomy): domain Eukaryota; kingdom Metazoa; phylum Chordata; class Mammalia; order Primates; family Hominidae; genus Homo; species Homo sapiens. The sequence continues at coordinate 7,638 of NW_021159988.1, read as the reverse complement.
TACAGACACACAGACACATACACATAGAGGCAGAAACATATATAGACACACACAGAGAGTCAGACACACAGACACATAGATATACATTCACAGACACAGAGACACACAGACACACTCACAGAGAGATACATAGACACACACACTCAGACACACACACAATATCCTCACAGACACATAGACACACACAGACACATAGACACACACATACACTCAAAAACACATACGTAGTCACAGGCATACACACAGACACAGATTCAGACACACAAACACAGACACAAACACAGAGACAGACACACTCTTAGACACACAAAACACAGACACATATACACACACACAGAGACACACAAACACACTCACAGACACAGACACACACACGGAGACATGGAGAGAGACACACAGGCATATACACATACCAACACAGAGAGAGAGACAGACACATCCACACGGAGACACATGCGCACACACCGTACCTTTAACTGCTTCCTCTCTTCCAGCCCTGCTCCTCCAGGATGCAGTGGGCTCAGATCTCCTCCATCCTGAAAGATTCTTTCCTTGACCACATCTCTATTGTCTAATGTATCTCTCTCATTTTTCAACAGGCAAAAAAGAGTAGTCTACATTCTAACTTGGGTTCCACAGATCCCAAGTTGATGATGTTCTTAGTGTTCCAACGAACTTACACTCACTCATCAGACCCAGTGAGATGGTTTCAGTCCTCATCTCACGGCACCCCTCCACCGTGTCTGGCTCTGTTGACCACATTATCTTGAAGCTCTTTTCTTAGAGTTCTTGAAGTCAAACCCCCTGGGATTGCTTCCTTCTCAGTGAGCAGTCCCTCTGTCCATCCCTCAAACAGAACTGTCTCCTCAGCCCTGTTCTGGACCAATGTCTTCTTGCCCTAAAAGCTCACTCTTGGTTATTCCATTAACAATTTAGATGGGTGACTCTGTCTGACCTTCTTCTGCCATTGTGACTTGAAGCAGGCTAGAAGAGAATTCTCTCACTTTCCTCTAAAGTAGGTCCAGACAGTAACATATTCAAAGGTGTGGTGTCCTGAAGCAACTCAGTGTTGCTGGAGTGTGAAGTGTGAGGAAGGGGAGGAGGCCACAAGGCCTCCATTCCCAGCTGCGATCGGCCCTAATTCCAACTTGGATGGCCAGCTGCCTGCAAGACAGCTCCAGCAGGATAGGCCGCTGACCCGCCATCCACCTCCACACGCCCAACAATGAACTCATGGTGGCTCCTGTGCCCCTGTGTACTTTGCGTGAGGTGGAGCAGCCAAAAGAGGCCCCTGCAAATTGCCTCCAATCCCTACCTCCAAACCAGAGCTGACTCCTGCCGTTTCACTTTCTGCTTATTTCTAGGAGGCTTGTCAACCTCTCCTCTCCTTCCATCACTGCGCCATTCAAGCCTTTCTCACCTCTTACCTGCACTCTCCGCAACACCCTCCAGGCTGGCCACCCTACTTCCGGGTCTTCCATGACAGTTCATTCCCTACAATAGGCTACTCCTCGCCTCAGGCCCCCCGCCCCCCTACCCCCAATATCTTTCAGAGGCTCCACATTGCCTCTGAAACAAAGCCCAACCTCCCAGCCGCTGTGTGAAGGACCTCCATGACCTTCCCGGCCTGGAGCTTCAGCCACACCTTGTGGCCTCCTCCCCTTCCTCACACTTCATGCTCCAGCAACACTGAGCTGCTTCAGGACACCACACCTTGGAATATGTTACCGTCTGGACCTACTTTAGAAGAAAGTGAGAGAATTCTCTTCTAACTTGTTTCAAGTCACAATGGCAGAAGGTCAGACAGAGACACTTTCCTGCTTCTGCTGTTTTCTCAAATACCAAGGTGTCATATTTGGGGGTAGCATATCCTGAACCCATCATTCGTTAAAAGTGAAAAATCTGGGCCGGGCGCGGTGGCTCACGCCTGTAATCCCAGCACTTTGGGAGGCCGAGGCGGGCGGATCACGAGGTCAGGAGATCGAGACCATCCCGGCTAAAACGGTGAAACCCCGTCTCTACTAAAAATACAAAAAAAAATTAGCCGGGCGTAGTGGCGGGCGCCTGTAGTCCCAGCTACTTGGGAGGCTGAGGCAGGAGAATGGCGTGAACCCGGGAGGCGGAGCTTGCAGTGAGCCGAGATCCCGCCACTGCACTCCAGCCTGGGCGACAGAGCGAGACTCCGTCTCAAAAAAAAAAAAAAAAAAAAAAAAAAAAAGTGAAAAATCTGGAGGATGGAGAAAACCCTCCCAGAGAATGGCTCTTCCTCCCACTCCTCTAGCTTGGCCGGGTGAATTCCTCCTCAGACCTTTTAACCACCGCTGTGCTTGAATAACTGTGGCATTGACAATGAAGATCTGTTTCCTCTCTACCTAATCAGGCATCAAAAATGAAACTTTACCATAAGCAGTATAGTTAGAGAACATTTGAGAGAGAGGAAGGCTGACTTAGAGATCATCTAGTTTACCTCCACATTTTAGAGATTTATGAATAGATAAATCAATAACATGCCGAGGGGAGAAGTGATTGTCTCAAAGGCCACCTTGATGTCAGCAGAGTGAAATTCGAACCCAGACATCAAGGCTTTTGGTGTGGAGTTCTTCCAGTATCTCAGAAGTTAGCTGTTTCTAAAGGACTCACATCTCAAATGGAAGCAGAATTAAAGCAAGCAGAAAGGCACCCAATGCATACAAGAAAGCCAAAATAAATAATTCTCCCCCACCAAAAAAAAACAATAATAAGCAAAACAAAACAGGCAAACCCATGACCTTGGGGCTTCATTCCAAATTTTTAAAGGCTTCAAATTAAAAGTTATTGAATAAAGACCAAGTTTAGCTTTAAAATGAAAAAGAGAACCTGCCATTATCTTCCCTTATTTTACCATCCATTTATTCATTCATTCACCAAATACATTCTGAGCACTCATCCTGTACCGGATTCCCTGCTAGGCACGGAGGACTCAGAGAGGATAACACAAAGTCACTGCCTGGAGTGTCTCATAGCCCAGGAGGAACATGACCCTTACCTGGAGAAATGGCAGACAAATCAGAACATACCAAGTGGAGTAGAGCCTGAATACATGCTCTCGGAATTCAGAGCAAGAAAAATAAAAGACTGGCCGGGTAGGTGCCCACGCACTCAAGACCACTGCACCTTTAAGGATGTAAAAGCCCCATCGGGCTTTGCAGCTGGGGCATGCCATTGAAGGCTGGTTTCAGCATTTGCACCTGATGCAGAGCTGCACCTCTGCATCAGTGATGCAACAAAGAGGAAGTCTGATGCAGGAGAATCAAAGGCAGCCATAGGGTCATATGTATTGAAATCTGCCCCCTTGCCAGTCAGTCTGACAGGGACCCCTTTCTTAGGCTGAAATTAAAGACTCAAGGAAACAGTGAGAACTAGAGGCTAGAGCAGATGGCAGGAATGTGACCACTGGGATAAATTAAGGGTTTACAAAAAGATGCTCTGGTCAGTGTAGCTCCAAGACCTTGTGGCCAAGGCCATCAGCATGTCAATCTTGTCTTAGTAAACTGTACATGTACAAGTAAGGGTGGCAGCATGAAAGGTACCACTCTGCTGCACACAGTAACGAGCCTGATCTGAACACACAGAGCCCTCACGAGATGGTGGCACCAATGGCAAGGCCAAGACTGACAGTGCCTCTGGCCAGCCTTCTGCTTCTAGTTTAGAGGAATTTCCCAACCTCCTACTGAGGAAGAAGATCACATCCCAAGGACATATTGCAAGTATTTTACTGCTACAGGTACCATCTATACAAGTAGGCATCAGCATCTTTGTCTCTTGAGTGAAGAGAGTTTGATTCCTTTCCATTTATTCCTTTGATTGAAAACTTCAGGCTAAAGGACCCGTTCATGTATTATCGAAATTGAAGAAACAGAACTAAGATAAAAACCATCTGCTCACAATCTTGGTACTAGGGAAGGTTCCCTGTGATGGAGAGAACTGCCCCCTGTCACACTGGCACTTGTTACGCGTCTCAGAGGTACGAAGAAGAGATAAGCCTTGGGGTTTTCTGTGCTAGAGAGTAGGGGTGATCCCAGAATTGAAGTATTTTATATGGAAATCATAAGAGAAAATTAGAAAGTCTCACAAGAGAAGTGGTCTCCACAACATTTGTGGTCAGTGCCGCATAATTTCATACTTAATTTTGGAAATAGTACAGTGAAGCAGCAAGAGAATCAACTTTGAAGTCAGACATTCCAGCTTTGAATCCGGCTTCATCACTCACTGCCCATGTGACCTGGGAAGAGGCATCTTATCATCATGCTCATTTCCTCAGCTATAAAGTGTGGTTTATACCTGCACGCTAGGCCTGCTCATTGATCCAAGAGGCATCTAGAATACCTGTTATAGGAGGGAAAAAAGATACCTTTCCTCACCCATCACAAGATTCACAGCTGAGGCATCTATAGCAAAAGACTGATTGACAAGAGAAAAACGTACAAATTTATGTAAGTTTTATGTGACACAAAGCCTTCAGAAATGAAGACCCTGTAGTCCCAGCTACTCAGGAGGCTGAGGCAGGAGAATGGCGTGAACCTGGGAGGCGGAGCTTGCAGTGAGCCGAAACCGAGCCACTGCACTCCAGCCTGGGCAACAGAAAGAGACTCTGTCTCAAAAAAAAAAACAAAAACAAAAAACAAAACAAAAGAAAGAAATGAAGACCCAAAGAAATCAGGAGAATTGTATTTTTTTTTCTTTTTTTTTTTTTTTTGAGACGGAATCTTGCTCTTCACCCAGGCTGGAGTGCAGTGGCGCGATATCAGCTCACTGCAAGCTCCACCTCCTGGGTTCACGCCATTCTCCTGCCTCAGCCTCCCGAGTAGCTGGGACTACAGGTACCCACCACCGCGCCCGGCTAATTTTTTGTATTTTTAGTAGAGACGGGGTTTCACTGTGGTCTCGATCTCCTGACCTCGTGACCCGCCCGCCTCGGCCTCCCAAAGTGCTGGGATTACAGGCGTGAGCCACCGTGCCTGGCTGGAGAACGGTATTTTTATGGACAGTCATTCAGAAGTGTGACTGAAGGACAAAATGGTCTGATCTAACGTGAACAACCTGGCCAGGCAGGGTGGCTCATGCCTGTAATCCCAGCACTTTGGGAGGCAGAGGTGGGCAGATCACCTAAGGTCAGGTGCCTGAGACCAGCCTGGTCAAGAAGATGAAACCCTGTCTCTACTGAAAATATAAAAAGTAGCCGTTGTGGTGGTGCGCGCCTGTAATCCCAACACATTGCAAGGCTGAGGCAGGCAGATCACCTGAGGTCAGGAGTTTGAGACCAGCCTGGCCAACATGGTAAAACCCTGTCTCTACTGAAAATACAAAAATATTGGCCAGGTATGATGGTACATGCCTGTAATCCCAGCTTCTCGGTAGGCTGAGGCAGGAGAATTGCTTGAATCTGGGAGGTGGAGGTTGTAGTGAGCTGAGATCGCACCACTGCACTCCAGCCTGGGCGACAAGGGCAAAAACTCTGTCTCGAAAAAATAAAAATAAAAATAAAAATAAAAATAAAAATAAAAAAGAATGTGAATAAACTACGGTGGCGGGGATCTTAGTAAGACACATTTATCCAGATTATTATCTGTGCCTCTGTGTCTTCATTCCTTTCGTCTGGGTATAAAGAGGAACCCTCTGGACCCACTTTAGAGAAAGGTCAGAGAATTCTTTCTGGCCTGCCTCAGGGGAGAATGGCAGGACAGGGTCAGAAAAACTTCCCTGCTTCTGGTGTTTTCTAAAATGCCAAGGTGCCATATTTTGGGGTAGCATATCCTGAACCCATAACTGTTAAAAGTGAAAAATCTGGACGCAAATCGCCAAAGTTTGAATCCTGGTTCCAATACTGTCTAGCCGCGTGGCCTTTGGCAAGTTCCTTTGCTATGCCTCAGTTTCCTCAACAGTCAAACAATGTATTAGCTATTAATGTATTAGCTCACCTAACATTCCCACTAATCCTAGGAGGTATCAACCTTCTAATATTAATATCACTTCATATTAAGTGAACCAATACATTAATACAATACCTGTGCTTAGTAGGTTCTCCTATGTTAACTGTTGGGATTATTGATTTCTTCATTCAGTGAGTGTCTCCTCCAAGCCAGAACTCTGAGGTGACTAGAACACGTTCCCCAAAGAGATCCCTGTCCAGTAGACAAAATGGCACATGTGCAAATAATTGCACAGTGTGAAGGCTTCGTAAGACAACTTGACCCAGCCTAGAGAATTCCTGAAAAGGTGACACTTGAGGTGAGCTTTGAAGGATAGCGAAAACTGTCCAAGAGGGTACGAAAGTGGAAGTGCATTCCAAAGAGCAGAAGGTAGACTGTGCAAAGACACGGAGGTGAGAAAAGCAGGCTGCACGGGAGCTGTGAGTGCCTCAGAGTCTGGAGGGAGATGTGCCTGGTCCAGCCTGGGAGGATTTCGTTTGGATTTTATCCCAAGTGACTGCAAGTCCAGAGACATTGGGTACAAACCCTCCCAAGAACCAAATCTAACTCCAGAGAATTTGGATTAATTTCCCAATTTATAAAATGAGAGTTTTAAAAGAGATGACCCTTGCAGTCCCTCCAAGCACTGACGCAATTTAATTATCCCCAGATAGCTGGAAAGAGGCAAATTGCACGCTCCATTCCCCGCTTCCCCTAGTACACCTCAGGGCAGCACAAGGCCTGGCGCCCAAGCAATGCCTTTTCCTCTTTCTGAATTTTCTACAGTCTTTGCTAGCTCAGAAACTTCTCATTTTAACAGTTTCCTCACAGTCAGGTTCCAGAAAGCATGCATTTATGAAACTTATCAGCTCTGAATCTTTATTGTATGTGTTTTCTCATTAAAACAAATCAAAAATGCCTGTGCAGATGATGTCAAGGCTTTTAAAATTCAAAACCAAAATGTAGCCATCATCTGAATTGTCTCATGCGCAGGCTGCTGAGATCCGAGAGCCTCGTTTGACAGACAACCTGGGACTCAGCAAAGTAGAGAACCTGGGAGACAGGAGAGAGCTGCTTCCAGCCTGGCTCCTGAGCCTGATAAAATTAGCCAAAAGATGATCTCCATGGCAACAGGAAATTTGTTTCTTAAAGAAGGTTAGAAATAATGCCTTTGGAAGAAACTCCGCGGCAGATAGAATATTCTCAGATTACACATAAATGGTGTCTATGCCAACAAAATGACGGGCCAGGCGGCTCAATTATCTGGATAATTTAGGTCTGAACCAGTGATTTGTAAAAGAATAGGAGGCTTTTAAGACCTGAAGAATGGAATGTGGCAGGCCTGGGCCCAGACTCAGGGGAATGGGAAGGCCAACCCCTCCCAGGAGCGTTCTCTGCCAGTCTCAGGACTCGGAACCGGACTCGCACGCTCAGGGTGTGGGCCTCTGCCGGCTACTTTCCAAGAAGCAATGAGACCTGCTTGGAATTCTTAGTGGGATTATCTGGAAGTTGCTGGCAGAGGGGGTTGGGTGCTGGAGGAAGGAACAGGCAGAGAGATCACGTGTCTCAGGTGCTGCAAGGGAGGAGCCCCCGTTTCCGCTCCCTGTTCTGCATTTCTTTCTTCTCTCCCTCTGTCTTTAGCTCCTTCATTCTATCCCTCCTTGGAAGATGAATAGCCACTTTGTAAACT